>NC_000006.12:67761897-68064927 GCF_000001405.40 Homo sapiens
AATAAAGCAAAAAACACAAACCAGAGGAGGAATACGTGAAAGAAAAACTACAAAACAATAAAAAGATCATTTAGAAAAAGCTGGTTTTTTGAAAAGATAAAACTGACATACTTTTAACTGAACTACCAAAGGGAAAAAATAGAAAAAGCTAAAATAAAATTATCAATGAAACAGAGACATTAAGCTTCTGATACCACAGAAATTCAACCATCAGAAGAGAATAATATGGAAAATTACATGCCAAAAGTTGGATAGAGAGCTTAGAAGAAATGGGTAAATTTATAGGAGCATCCAACCAATTAAGACTAAATCATAAAGAAATAGGAAGCCTGAACAGATCATAATGAATAAAGAGATTGAATCAGTAATCAAAAACCTTCCAAAATATAAAGCCCAAAACATGATGGCTTCATTGGTGAATTCTACCAGTCATTTAAAGAAAAACGAATAATAATACTTCTCAAATTTATCCATAAAATCTGAAGGGAGAGAACACTTTCAAATTCTTATGAGACCAGCATTATTCTGACCAAAGCAAGAGAAGGAGCCTACAAGAAAAGAAAATTATAGGCCCATATCCCCAGTAAACACAGGTGTAAACATTCTCAACAAAGTATTGACAAACCAAATTGAACATCATATTGAAAAGATCGTACACTGTAATCAAGTGGCATATACTTCTGATATGTAAGGATGGTTCAACATATGCAAATCAATGTGATATACCATATTAACTGAAAAAGGATAAAAATCAAAAGATTATCTCAATAGAGGCAGAAAAAGCATTTAAAAAATACTTCAATTCATAATCAAAAAACAACTCTCACAAATTACAGAAATAATGTATCTCAACATAATAAAGGCTATATAGGACAAGCACACAAGCTAACATTGTCCTCAACAGGAACATGACAAGTATGCCACTCTTGTTACTTCTACTCAATATAGCACTGGAAGTCCTAGCCAGAGCAATTAAGCAGGACAAATAAAAGGTATCTAAATTGGAAAGAAGAAGTAAAATTGTTTGCAGATGACATGATCTTTTAAATTGAAAATGCTAAATAATTGAACAAATAACTGTTAGAACTAATATATAAATTCAGGGAGATTCATAGAATACAAAATCAAGATACAAAAATTAGGAACATTTCTATACACTAACAAAAACCTCTGTAAAAAAGAAGTTAATAAAATTATCTCATTTAGAATAGCCTTAAAAATTAAAATACTTAGGAATTAATTTACATAAGGAGGTAAGAAATCTGTACACTGAAATTTATAAAACTGATAAAGGAAATTGAAGACAAAATAAGTGAATATATATCCCATGTTCATGGTTTGGAAAATTAATATTATTAAAGTATCCGTGATACCCAAAGCAATTTACAGATTCAGTGCAATCCCTATAAAAATTCCAATGACTTTTTTTATAGAAATAGTAAAAACAATCCTAAAATTTTCAAGGAACCACAAAAGACTCTGAATAGCCAAAGAAATCCTGAGCAAAATAGAACAAAGCTGAAGGCATCACATTACTTGATTTCAAAATATACTACAAAACTATAGTAATCAAAAGACCATGACAATGGCATAAAAGAAGACACATAAACCAATGGAAAATAATACAGAACAGGGACATAAATCTGTAAATTTACAGTCAATTGATCTTCAACAAATGTGCCAACACAAAATGTGGAAAGAACAGTCTTTGAGTAAATAATGTTGGAAAAACTTATCCACTTGCAAAATAATGAAATGAGAACTTTATCGCACCTCATATACAAATATGAACTAAAATGGATTAAACACTTAAATATAAGACATGTAACTGTAAACTACTAAAAGAAAACATAGGGAAAATGTTTCTTGACATGGGTCTGGGAAAGAAACAAATTGGATATTATAAGCACAGACAGCAGCAATAAAAATAGATAAGCTTCATTTGCTACAAGCTTAAGGTTACAACAAGCTAAAAAGCTTCTGCACAAAAAAGAAGACATAGTGAAGAGAAAACCTATAGAATGAGATAAAATATTTCAAATCATACACCCCATAAAAGGTTAATATCCAAAACCTATAAATAATTCAAATAATTCAAAAAATGAGCAAATGGTTAGTGTAAACATTTTTTAATAGAAGCTATACAAATGGCCAACAATTATCCACAAATTGCTCAACATCACTAACCATCAGGTAGAAGCAAATTAAAACCACAATGAGATATTCTTTGATATCTTTTAGAATAGCTATATCAAAAAGACAAAATACCACAAAAGATGATAAGTATATGAAGTAATACATACATTAATTAGCTTTATTTAGTCATTTTGCAATGTATACATATTTTAAAACAATGTTTTAAATGTTATATATGGATATTTTGTTCAATTAAAACTAAAACATTTATAAATACAAAAAGAAGACAAAACACAGCAAGTGTTGGTGAGAATGTGGCATAAAGGGAGCCCTCGTGCAGTATTGGCGGGAATGTATATTAGTACATTTCCATTTTGGAAAAGAGATGGTGGTTCTTAAAAAATAAAAAATAGAACTACCATATGATGCAACAATCCCACTTCTGGTATGTGTCCAAAGAAACGGAAGTTAGTATGTCAACGAAGTATCTCCACTTCCATATTAATCATAGCATTTTTTCCAATAGCCAAGATATAGAATCAACCTGAGGGTCCATCAACAGATGCATGGATAAAGTGTGTATGTGTGTGTGTGTGTGTGTGTGTGTGTGTGTGTATAAAATGCATATATACAATGACATATTATTCAGCCTGAAGAAAAGGAAATTCTGTCATTTGCAACAACATGCATGATCCTGGAATATATGTTGCTAAGAGAACTAAGCCAGGCACACAAAGACAAATAATCCATGATGTCACTTATATGTGCAATCTAAAAAAGTGAACTCAACATAGAAATAGAAAGTGGAATGATGTTTACCAGTAGGTAGGAAAGGAGATGGAAAGAGGGTGATATTGGTCAAAATGTACAAAGTCTCAGTTAAGATGAATAAGTTCTGGGAATCTATTGAACAGCATGGTGCCTACAGTTAACAATAATATATTGTACGCTTGAAAATTGCAAAGAGAGTAGATACTAAAATGTCTTACTATGAAAAAATAAGTATGTGAGGTGATAGATATGTAAATTAGCTTGATTCATTCATTTTACATTGTATATATTTGTCAAAACATCACATTTTACAAATAAATAGATACAATTTTATTTTTCTTTTTCTGTATACTTTAATAAACCTGAGAATTAAACTAAAAGCCAGCAAAATTGTGAATTTTACCCAAAATAAATAGAAGAAATAATAAATGATAGGAAATAATAGAATATGGACAAACAATAAAAAATTAGTAAAGCCAATATTTGAAATTTTTATTTTGATAAAACCTTAGGCTAATCAAGAGAGAATGAGAAAAATAATGAGAGAGATAGAGCAATAGAAAGGAATACTGATATGCTAAACAACCTGGATGAATGTTAACATATTGCGCAAAACAAGCTAGATACGAGAAAATTGTGTAAGGTATGATTCTATTTGGATAAAATTTTATAACAAACAAAAGGATCTATGGTTATAGAACTAGAAGAGTAGTTGCCTCTCAGGATAGGGATGTGCGTAAAAGGGGCATGAGATTACTTACTAGAGTGTTGGAATGTTCAGTACACATTTAATTCATGTGTGGGTTTACATGGGTGGTATTTTCCAAAACTTATCCAGCTGTATCTTCATTACATGTATCTTTGATATTATTAAATTATATATAATTTAAAAACAAAATATATATGACCAATGAAATCACTGAATTGATGTAGCTCCAGATGCTCATCGATACGGCTTCTAGAGTCTCCCATTCATGCCACTGGATGTACAAGTTGCAGTCATGTATAAATGATGCTTTCCACGGAACTGAGCCTTCCTGAGGATTATCTACAAACTTCTACAGAGCAGCTAGAACCTGCTTATGAAAGTTCACCTCTTTGATATTGACAAATTCCCAAACCACGCTCAAGCTTAATACATCCCTTTGGACACAGTGGCTGATCTTTACAGCTGTCCATGAGAACCATTGAACAACCCAGTCAGTTTTTGTAACATTCATCTTAACTGGTGCTAATTTTACCCCCTCTCTATAGTCTAATATTTAAATTGTTAAAACATCTTTCATTTCTAAATCCATAAGCACTCATTTAATAGCACTATTGTGTGATTAAGATATTTTCTAAAAATTCAGTTCAGTTACAATTCATACTGGAAGAGAACCACTAGGGTATTAATCATATCATGATTACCTCAGATCTCAAGGGACCAGGCAACCACTCAAAATTTTACAGCTGAAATAACACTTGTTAAATTAACACGTCAACCAACTTCCTATGAGTCTGGCCAAGTGATAAATTGTGTTGGCCCAGTGATATTTTACACACTTTAAAGTGATAATAGTTTCTTATGAAGACAGTACAAAAAACAATTCTCTAGACTGAAAACAGAGGTGACAACCCAGAAAAAATATATTATTTGTTCATCAGTTATAGATCTTTGTCATGATTCATAAATCACCATTGTAATTAATAAAAGTATTTTTCAGTAGCATTTTGAACATTTCAGATCCAATTCTCCATTATCTTATTTGGCCCTTATAACAATCCTAAAATGTAAGCTCTCAGATATCACCAATATTTTTCTGTTAAGTAAATAAAGGCAAAGAACCTTGAACTTATTGTATGACATTACATATTAGGCCAGAGACATCCAGGGGAAGGTCCTGAGCTTTCAGATTACTAACTAAACAGTTTTGTCTTCAGACCAGAGAGTACAAACCAGACACCCTTAAGCTCCATCTTGCCTGCAGACTGTTTTCTGGCTCAAACAGTATAGTTTACACTTTTAAATTCCGTTATATAATGAACATATTTAGAGATTTAACCTAAAAATCTTAATTGTAACCCCTCTGAAATTATTAAATTATTTGGGAATATTCACCTTTTCACATATCAGTAATGAGTTAAAGGGAATAGTAACTGCTAATTTAAATTATTTAATACTTTCCAATTTGCCACTGACCCTTTTAGCCAGCCCATGCTCCTTCCCTCAGATAGAGTTGGATCTACCTGGATCCTACAGGTATGTCTGTTCCTGGATCCTAAGTTAGACTATATGACCCTTTGGAGAGCTAACCTCACACTTAAGCTTTGTCTCTTTCCTTGATAATACTGTATCTTTAGAATTCTCCTGTAGACTGTTATGATTTCTATTCTTGCTGGTCATTAGAGAAATGCAAATCAAAACCACAATGAGATACCATCTCATGCCAGTGAGAACAGCAATCATTAAAAAGTCAGGAAACAACAGATGTTGGGGAGGATGTGGAGAAATAGGAATGCATCTGTTGGTGGAAGTGTAAATTAGTTCAACCATTGTAGAAGACAGTGTGGCGATTCCTCAAGGATCTAGAACTAGAAATATCACTTGACCCAGCAATCCCATTACTGGGTATATATCCAAAGGATTATAAATAATTCTACTGCAAAGACACATGCACACATATGTTTATTGCAGCACTATTCACAATAGCAAAGACTTGGAACCAACCCAAATGTACCTCAATGACAGACTGGATAAAGAAAATGTGGCACATATACACCACGGAATACTATGCAGCCATAAAAAAGGATGAGTTCATGTCCTTTGCGGGGACATAGATGAAGCTGGAAACCATCATTCTCAGTAAACTAACACGAGAACAGAAAACCAAACAGCACATGTTCTCACAAATGTTGAACAATGAGTTGAACAATAAGAACACATGGACACAGGGAGGGGAACATCATACACTGGGCCCTGTCAGGGGATGGGGGGATAGGGGAGGGAGAGCATTAAGAGAAATACCTAATGTAGGTGATGGGTTGATAGGTGCAGCAAACCACCATGGCACGTGTATACTTACATAACAGACCTGCACGCTCTGCACATGTACCCCAGAACTTAAAGTATATACACATATACTTTATATATATATATACACACACATATATACACATATATATATACACACATATATATACACATATATATATACATATATATACACATATATATACTTATATACATATATAAGTATATATACACATATATACATATATATACACATATATATACTTATATATATACATATATATGTATATATACACATTATATATATACATATGTAAAAGAATTCTCCTGATTTTCAGGAAATAGCCTGGGAGAAATCACCTTCAAAAGCCATTGGCTCTGCCTCTCCTATTCATTAGGAGTATTGTTCAGGACCACCTTTTTTCATATAGCTTATTGCAACGTAAAATGACTACATCTCTTTGGAAGTCCAAAATAGTTAATTTACTTTAGAATTTACTCATGTTTACTAGACAGATAGATATATGATAGATAGATAGATAGATATGATATAAATATGCATACTCACATTTTATACTTTTAATGTATTTAATTAATGATTTACTTTTTAAATTACTAGAATAAAAAACCTTTGAACTAGACATTTACATCCATAATAGAATTTTATTTGAGGAATGTAATTTGCACAATGCAAAAATAAAGTCCCTGAGCCCCCAGGAATCTGGCCATGAAGAAGTACCTGTATTCTGTTTTCTTATTCTTTTCTGTAGTCAATCCTGGTGTTCATGAGAGAAACCTGAGAAGGGTGGGTCAGTGCTAAAGATGAGCAGATTCTTTTTGGTTTTTAAAAGTAATACAGCTTCACTCCTGGATGACAGACTGGTGGGGAATCTGCTAGGAATTTTCACTGAGAAAATCCCTGTGTCAGGACCAGAACATGGCTTTGGACAGTGAATCTAACCTTGCGTTAAGACCGAAATAATCAGACAATTGGGAGAAGGCCCATGTTCCTTACACTGTAAGATGATAGATAGATAGATAGATAGATAGATAGATAGATAGATAGATAGATAGATAGATAGATGTAGTTAGAATTTAGAATAGACATGACAAAGAGATTGTAAACTAGATGTCTCAGGAAAAAAATAAACAACAAAATGACTTATCTTTCTTCTCTCTTTGGTCTTTCTTGCTCCCCTCACTTCTCCTATCTCTTATGTTCTGTTCCTAATCTTGATAAAGCAAATTTTTTAAGTAATTTTTTTTCCTACTAAGTTTTACATCTGTGTCTGTTGAGTTAGTAAGTAGGTCACTTCCACCAATTCTGTTTCTGTTTCAATTGAAAGCACAGTCTCACTTTCAGTCTTAGAAGATAATAAAGCCCAGATTTCAGAAAGCACATTACTGTACTGCTAAGATTTTAAAGGCCAAATATACCACCCTTTCCTGTAGCATCTTCTTTCTCCAGGACTCTAACCTACTCACTTTTTTGCCTTCCAAAGTATAGCACAGATTGAACACCTGTGCCTTGAACTACCTCCTTTTCCTTTAGTTTATCAACTTTTTCTGCCCAGGGTCTCTTTCTTTCCTTTTCAGCATGTATCCCAAGGTCAGTAGCATTGATTCCACTCCCACAAGCAATGATGTCTAGTGCTTCAGACATCGACCTTCAAGCCCCTCCCTCCCATCTTAATTCATCTGTAGCTCTTCTTCCCTCCAAGACTATGGAGCACAATGGGAGAGATCTCTGGATTCCAGTTTTAGCTGGATAGTCTGTGCCACTCTGCAGACCTTTCTTTTGTTTGTTTTACATCATTTCCTTCTTATTTCCCTAAGCAGCTACTGCAAACCTGTATCCCTTTCCTCAAGCCCACACTCTATACCTGCACTCTTTTGTTCCCTGAACAACAGAGGGCATCATCTGTTTCCAGAGCAAAATAGAGAATCTGGATAATTCCCGTCAACTCCAATACTTCATAATTAGATCCTTCTGTTTTCTCCCTGCTTTTATTTATGTTAAATGTGTGTGTGTGTGTTGTGTGTGTGTGCATGCACACATGTAATACCTATTTTCTGGAATTTATCAGAATATTCGAAAATATATGCAAAGGATCTGTTTCTCATTATAAGTTATGATAATTTTTAGAGCTAACTTCAGAATTATCTTTATTTGGGCTCAAGGCTATACAAGCAATGAACACTAAAATTTTGTGTACTGTTTGATTTTTTGTAAAACATACATGCTTCCTCACTCTTTCAGAGAAAATACTAAGGTACTGTGGCCTTTCATAATCTAATCCAATTTTTTTATTATGTACTTTGTACTACATATTTTATTATACAGACTTGGATTCAAAGATATTTAAGAGATACAAAGAAGGACTTCATCCAGTCTGTGGACCACCTGAATCTGTGGGTATGTTACTTCTCTCTCTCTCTCTCAACAGGGTCTCACTCTGTTGCCTAACCTGTAGTGCAGTGGCACAATCATGGCTCATTTTAGCCTAGAGCTCTCGAGCTTAAGCAATTCCCCTGACCTCAGCCTCCCAAGTAGCTGGGACCACAGGCACCCACCACCACATATGGCTATTTTTTTTTTTTCTGTAGAGATGGAGTCTCACTATGTTGCCCAGGATGGTCTCAGACTCCTGGGCTCAAGCAGTTCTCCCACCTCAACCTTCCAAAATGCTGGGATTACAGGCACGAGCCACTGTGCCTGGCCTGTATGTGACTTTTTAAAAGTAAATTTACTGAAGTTTAACTTTTATAAATTAAAATGAGGTTTAACCAATAAAAGTACCTCTGTAATTACAACTACTGTCAACATATAGAACATGTTCAACACTCCAGATAGCTTTTTGTATTTCTTTGTAGTCATCTGAATGCCTAACCTCTGGTAAACATTGTATCTATGTTCCATCATTGTAGCTTAGTTTTGCCAAGTTGCATATAAGTAAAATCATGTTTTTTTATTTCTAGTTTCTTTTACTCTAGATAATGTTTTTGAAGTTTATTTGTATTGCCATAACAGCAATTCCTTCCTTTTTGTTGTTGAGTAGTAAGTAGTCTCCTGCACAGACATATGTATTTGTGATTTTCTCTAGAGAGAATGCTTATGGGTTTTTCATCAGATCCTTAGAAAGGTATGCTGTTCCAAAGTTTAGCAATCTGTGCTTTAAATATAGCTTACAGATCCCCTTCCCTGTTTCATCTCTAGGGAAAGACTTGCTATGGATAAGCAATAAAATAATGTCATCTGTGAAATGAAGCTAGTTCATTGTACTAGGTACTGGAGTTTTAATTAACAAAAATGGTTTGTAAAAACCGAGATATCTGTTTGTCTCATAGTTCTTTCTCTATCGTATGTCTATCTTGGGATGCAGAGTTTCATTTGGAAGGCCATTCTCTTCTCCAAACTTTGAAAGGTCAATTAAAATCAAAGTAAGGCCAAGAGCCAGGTTCATAGAGTGAAGCAAGCTTCTTAAGCCTGTCTTTATTAAGCTATTTGGATAAATGGTGAAAATCATTACTGGGAACTCACATTGTTTCCCAGATTAGCACATTAGCAAAGGATGTATACAAGAAATTTAAGGCCAACAGCCTAATTTTCAACTAAGAATATATCAGGCAAGAATATTCTTTGCAGTAAACACATCTCTCGAAAAGTTAAAGTAATGAGAGTACTGTTACCTATCAATTATCAGGGAATTAACACTTTGAGAGGACTTAGCAATCTTATCATGAGTAAGGCTGTATAATGAGAGAACTAAAACAACAAAGATGGAGATACTCTGAGCTCATCAAGTCAAATGTCTTCTTTATAACCAATAAAAGATTGAATTGTCTTATCCACATAAAATAGATGTAAAAAGTAATTGTCAAATCAAAACTAGCACTTTAAAATTTCCAATGTTTAAATATTTTTGTTCCCTGCCCCCGACACCATGCTTGAAAATTAAGCCTAATGGAAATTGCCTGAAACTCTGAAAGGCAGCCTGGATTTTTTTTTTTTAAATTTAACCCTTGTAATAAAGAATGATTCCAAGATTTTTTCTTGAGGTATATTTATCTTTTTTTCTATGTGTGCATTATTTTTATTAGACAACATTTAGTCTGTACTAGTTTAGTTTACCCCCATGTTTTTTTTTAAATTTCACTTCCGATATTGACATGTTTGTTGATCAAAATTTCTATTTTCTACTCTAAATTGGCTAATCTAGATTTAAAGTTAAAATGGAGCTCTCTCTACCCAGTGCCTATAGCTACTAAAGATATAGTTGTACAAAGCATAAAACATGACATATTTAGATCTTTCCTGAACAGCTTTTGCAGTATAATGAAATGATTTGATGCAACTTCGACAATATCAACTGTGAATGTTATTAGATATCAGAAGTACAGTATCTGATACTGTTTCCCTGGTTGTTTAATGATAATGTCCTCCGGTCTCTTTAAAAGAGCACATTACTTTCCACCATACAAAGAATATTCTAATTGCAGTCGCTGTTTTACATAGTTTTCAGGATATTATAATTTTTAAATTCCACTAAGAAGAGTAATGATATTAATAACAAATATTTAAACAATATGTATACCAGTTTCATTTAATAAAGACTATTTGTTAAAAAATACATTAATATCAAATATTGAGCTCAAATATTAAATTATATATTGAAATTTAGAAATATATTTCCTGTTTTTCTTCATTTTAGTTCATGAAGCATTTTTATTAAGACAAACAAATTAAAATGAGCTGTTCCCCTGAATATTCAGGTGATCTTTCAATAATGAAATCAGTGAATTTTGCCTCCAAACAATAATTCCTTCATTTGGTTTAGCTCTACACCATTCTTTTTATTCAATCATAAGAGTCTATACATTATGTTTTTTAATAACTAACATTTTCATCATCATCACCTTTTCCTCATTTAAATGGTTAAAGAAATGATTCTTTAATATATAATGGGATGTTAAAAAAACTTTCTATTTTCTCAATTTAGATGAGAATGGAAACCTGGGGATAATAGGTGACAAGTTTCACTCAAATTTCAAATAGAGGTGTTTCTGAAGGAAGGAAAATTTAGCTCATTCCCACTCCTAATGGTACAAAGCGGAAAGCAGGAGACAAATTTTCAGAGAGGATTGATAGAGAATTATCTGAAGAAAGCTGTGTGTGTCCTGTGCTACTTCCACCCATCTGGACCTTTACCATTTCAAGTCAACTGACTTCATGACATCTACTCAGTCATTATATATGTCTTTTGGTCTTTAAACAGCCCAGGGACTTGTATCTAGTGCCCTTCAGTGAAAATTTACAGGTAAAAAGATAGTTGCATCTGTCTCTGATGTTAGAACTGAGATCAACATGAACTTCTAGATTTTGGCTGCGTTATATATGTACACAGTAAGGAGCTGGGTTGGAGAGTTATCTTAAAGGGAACTTGGTCAAGAGCTCTGCAATCCCAGGCAAGGGTAGCTCCAACAATAAGAGCTACCCTTATCCACTGGATATCTCATTGGATGCATGATTTGAAGAGGGAATCAAACAACACACCATCATCTGTTAGGGAAGAGTGCAATATTAGAAGTCATTCATCTGCAAAATACCAATATTTTGAGGAAACATTAAACTTTGCCAGAAAGGGATTCCAGAAGCTATACTAAGATATCACCAGCTTTACCATTTGTATTTACTATCTATGTAACTTTCTACACTGTCATCTGCCAAATGTTGGTCAGGCCTACCTGAGCTTGTGAGAGAAGGAAAAAAAAGTATTAAATTGAATAAGAAATATAATTATAAAAACTGTTTTCAAAAGAAAAAGAAACATTTTTAATATTCAAAAGTGAATTTAAAAAGTTCTAGAATTTTCATGAAATAGTGCCTTACTGTAGGAAAGGGAGATCTGACAGCATATTCTAAAGCCACTGATATAAAGAAATAAAAACACGTTCTGGATTACAGGCTGCCAAGTCCAATCCATTCAATAATTTCATCATGAATAGAATAAGCCCAGTAAAAAAGTTCTGATGAAGCCTACATTAAATAATAAGCAGCCCAACCCCAAAGGTGCTGTACGTGTTATAGGACAATGCTGTAATTCAAAGTTCTCAAGCTATATGACTTAGAGAAGAATATTAAACAAAGCAAGTTAAACGCATACCTATCCAGAGGTGAGCAAAGGCATAAACTGTACAGCTGATGAAGGCATGAAGAAAAGGTATAAAAATATAAACTTGTTAATATTGTGCAGTCAATTTTGAAAAAGGGCAGGAAAGTCTTCTAAAGAAGAAGTAAGAATATCTGTTCATCCTCATCACCTTTTACTCCTTTTTATCTCTGCAGACAGGACCCCGAGCAAGGTGGTATTAAGAGGCTTACAAATTACTTTTAAGTGTGGGACTTGAGAGCCACCTGAAAAAGAAAGTAGCAAATCTCATCAACTCAATCACAAGGGGTTTATGTTAGTGCAGAAAACTGATGCCAGTACAATTGGACCAGGATTGTAGTAGCTGTGAGTTATACAGTTGATTTTCAAAGATCTCTTTCTACATCTGATACATAAGATTTCTATCTATCTTTCACTGTACTTTTAGTGATTTCTACAACCCAGAAAGTACTTTAACAATGATTTTTTAATATTTTTTCTATATACTGCCTTTCTCTGTATGTTCCTGTTTTATCAGAAAATACAAAGTTCACAATGTACCCTTGTTCAGTTTCACACTACTGTTCTTCTCCTCATTTATTATAGTTGGTATCTTCTAACTATGGGGTTCAATTTCCTCAGTCATGGTTCTTGGCTTCTTGGCAGTATTACATGTCTTTGAATTTTTGCATGAACTTTTGAGTAGTTACTAATGCCTTCTCTGTTCCTTTTAAATTCCATGTATCATTGTGAATCAAGATAGAGATGCCATTTTTCTTTGGCATATCTGTTGGATTTTTATGTGCATATAATCCTTTATAGAAGTTCCCCTCTACACTCTTTCACAAAGTGAGCATACCTATATGGTATCTCTACTAGCCTGCACGTAAGTCATTTATTCAACATTTTGTTGGGAGATATTATAGGGAAAAAAAACACTAATATGCACACAAATTAGGTAAAAACTGCAAACACATATACACAAATGTACAAACACACACACGTGAGGAATAAACATCTGTTTTTAAATTCCTAAATATATTACTATAGGTGAATTTTATAAAATATAATATAATATATTAACGCTTTTTTCAATGTTGTTTTAATTTTACTTAAATTTATTGAAGTTATTAGTAAAGTGGCATAAGAAAGGAAGATGATAATTAAATGAGAATGTTTGAATTGTGGGTTTACCTCTTCCCTTGGATGCTGTCACTCATTGTCCTGCTTTTCTTTAGACTTTCTGGTCACTCCTTTTCCATTTCATTTTGAAGAATCATGGTTATACAAAAGTGAAGTTCTTCCAGCTCAGTCTTAGGCCCTGTCTTTTCACTGTTTATTCTTTTCCTGCATGTGTAATCTCATTTACTAGCAGGCCTTCAATAAAAACCATACTCAGATAATTAGCATTTATATCTTTAGTTCAGATGTTTCCTCTAAACTCCAGACCCATATGTCTAACTACTCATCTCAAAAAAAAAAATCAAATGCACTTTAATATATTCTGCTACAACATGTGGTTCTTTAGTGAGCACTGACTCATACAAAGTTGTCATATGGGAAGCAATGTAAGTTTTAATGTGAAATTCATGTTGGGTCATATGTGATGTTTCCCAGCATGATATGCATTGAAGTAATCAGTAACAAGCTATTTCACGATGAAAAAGAAAATCTTAGTAACATATGAATATCTTCAGAAAAAGCTGAACATTCTACAAAAATGCAAGTAATGGCTGGCTTGGTAGCTTTAAGAATCACTAAACTTCTCACAGCATTAACCTGTCAGTAGAGCAGTGAATGCAGATTAAGCTAGCTTTAAAAGTCATCCAAGGTCAACAGCTTGTAAGAAATGGCAAAGGGAGTAGAACAGATTTTGCCAGACTTCTTTCCCAAGTACTTTCAAACAAACAAGGAAACAGTTTTGGAAAAACCAAGGCAGTAGATAATTTTATTAAATCACTGAGCACAAACTTAATTGCTGAAATATTTCAAAATAGAAAGACATAAAATGTTTGGAGCTATAGCTGGGAGATGAGTTAGAATATTAAAGGTAGGTAATATTTGTAAAACAGTAGGCCCAAAGGAAAAAGCAAATGTAAGGTATGATAGTAAAGACTATGTGGTAGTTAATAAAAACAACTGTGTATGTACAAAATATGACCATAATTTGAAGCTTTCTAGAGATAATTAAAGACATTTATACTTGACATTAGAAAGACATAAACACAATGAAATTTCAGATAAATCATAGCATTTATTATATGATGCTCTTATTATCACAGGCATGCTTTAATTTTAGTTAGCCCACAACTTATTTTTTTTCTTGCCTAATTTTATTTAGGCTTCAGATAATCACCTTTACTTTTGAATTAATTATATATATATACTTCTACCTGTTCCTTTATACTCTGCTAGGAGCTTTATTAAATAAATTAATGGATATTTTCCCCCTAGTGTCCTTCAGTTCATGTCATGCAAGTGAATTTACAGTGTGATTGACATTTGGAAGATCAGCAGAAATTTTTTATTGATAAATGAATGAATGAATGTTTCAGAAAACCACAGAAATGAAGATTAAATGACCATTAATCCTCAGTTCAGAAGTATCTGTCCTTCTGTTTCCAGAAACACACACACACACACACACACACAAACACACAAACAAAACAGATAGTCTAGGTTAGAGTTGGATGTTTTACAACCTATGTGACTACAGAAACCATAATGCCAGCAAGACTTCAAAGCTTTTTACAAAAATATTTTAGGAATAGTACATATTTACTGCCACAGGAGGGTTTATAGCATGGTGATATGATTCGCAAAAAGAAAAATGGGATCACAGTCCTGCATTGGCTCTTAAATATTTTTGTTTCCACCACTTGGTGGACATATTATTTTCTTCTGTACATTTCTTCCTACAAAACCCAGGTTCTCCTAGGATAAATCTATTCTAAGTTTTGTTATACCCTTTTGGGCACTAGACCACATCATATAAAAATGTTACTCATTATAATATCAGAATACAATTATAGCACTATATCACAGGTATTTCTACGACACAATAGTATTGGGACCCCTTCTCAAATTTTAAAGGTCAGTGAATTAAAAATAGTCTTTTTAGACCCTAATGATACCACAGGCATTCAAAAGCTCTTAACCCATTTATGTCTAGTGTTCCATTATTGGAACGCTATGTATGTGGGAGTTATTTATATCCTACTGCTTAAGGCCATTGCCAAGGTCTGATTGCAAAAATTAAAAAAATTGCTACCTCAGGCATAAATGGGTTAACTTCACTGGTGAGAAAGTAAAAGTTTTAGAGGAAAGGAGTGTATGTCAGCATAGGAATTATTGGGCAATACAAACAGTTTATTTATTTTAATTTTAGTAATCTAATTCTCTTGAAATATTAACAAACCTTGTTAATCTTAGAAAATATACAAAAAGTTAACTGCTTTTATCTGAAACAGAAAGTAGAGTCTTTATACGTTTAATTTTACATCTAGACATATTTTTATTCTCTAAAAAGTGATTACAACAAATATTACCTAGGAATAATTTTGAAGAAAAAAATGTACATGAAATATATTTAGAAAAGTTTAAAGCAAAACTGAGAGTTCTCAAAGGAATTTAAACACATAAAATGATATTACATAATACTAAAAAAAAAATACTGCATCCATCCTGAGTAATATGTAGAAATATCCTCTCCTCTCCTCTCCTCCCCTCTCCTCTGCTCTCTTTTCCTTTCTGCTCTCTCTCTCCTCTCTCTCTCTCTCTCTCTCTCTCCTGGTGGTAAATCTACTTAGATAAACCAACAAACCTGGGCATCTTAGTGAAGATGGACATAAACTGCTTAGATAATTCATAAATAACTAAGTTATCCAGCAATATAAAATTTTACACACGTAATACACTACTTAATTAATAAATATTTTAGCCACTAATTTGAGGGCCTCTATGAAATGAGAAAACAGAGGAACATTCTAAGATGTTCCCTTTCTCCCCCTTCTCAAAGTATCTGTTTGCTACATTCATTTTTCTCTTACACTCAACACATAATTGTTTTATGGAATATTGTTAACGTATTTGTAGTCCTGGGTTCTTAGGGAAAATTGTCACTTATATAGTTCTCTTACTAAACAAACATTTTCATTGATTTCTATCAGTGAGCCTCAGGCATGTGCTTTCTGTGTGCTTTTCCAAGCCTTACATTAACACCTACAAGTAATTCCCATACAGGATCACCCACAGAACGGCTACATATCACTTAGGCAGTTGCATGAATTTTGAAATTCCAGTTATCTCTTTTACCCTCTATTTTTACTTCATCATATTGCATATCTATTGCTCATACATGTTCTTAATACAGCTTTATTCCTTTTATAAATAGCAATCTTTTCCTAAACCATCAAATATACCTCTAACCACATCATTTTTTTTTCCATTTCACTTTTAATTTTGCATTTGTGTCCTTGAAATCAATGAAAAAAACATTAAATAACGTTTTCATTTTTTGGTGTTTTAGCTAATAAAATTTTAGTGGGTAAGTAAACATATAAAAGGTAGTCTCACTGTTACCAACCTTTGCTAGGTTTTTCTTAAGCATAGGAACTAGGCCTGTTACCCCCCTGCAGTGACCAGTACCTTTCTTGAAACATAGAGTAGGAGCTTAGTAAATAGAGCTGGTTCTTTTGCTAACTTGCCTTTTTCAATTTTAGTTGATTATTTTTATAATTTTTGGAGGCCCATCACATGTTTTAAAAAATTTTAAAAAAAGAAAACATATTAAAAGGCCAAAAGGAGAAATCTATAGAAGAATAAGAGAAAAAATGGGAAGAAGAAAGTGTGTAATTAATCAAAATCTCTTAGAATGGGACAGATGGAAAATCTGCCATTGACCTAGTTTTCTCACTTCTATTTTTTCTTCAATTGAATCTATTATCATCCTGCCTTCCAAAGAAGAATCTTAGTGCTTTAATTAGCTTATACATAGTTATCATCTTCAAAATCTCAATAGCGTTTTCTGTCCCTTCTTCTAGTCATATGTTTATTTCTCATTGCTATTTAATTAATTTCTATACATTGAATTGACAAATATGGTAGTCGACATTGAATTGTAACTCTTGAATAATATTTAAGAAACTCATAAACAAAATTCCAAACAGGTACTGAACAAATTTAGCTCATATTCTTGCTTTCTGGTTCTATATTCTTATATAGTTCTTAACGTTCCTGCCTGAGTACTGGATTGCTTCCAAGTCATGTGAATTACACAGGAAACTGAAACTTCTAATCAACGTATAAAGTTAAATATAATGAAAATGGCATGTCTGCAATCTTCTTAATATTGATTTTGAGATCAAGTCATTTAGATTGCTGTTTTGTTGATAATTTTCATAGCAACATATTTTAAATATATTCTTGAGTTTGTAGGAAGATTCCATACAAGGTTTATATTTAAAAACAATATTTTTATGAACATTAAATTTTACAATTATATAAACACATATATTGTATTTTGATTACCCTTAATTTGGATTTTTTTTGTTTAATTGGGATCTTTCAAAGTTACTTTGATATACTGCTAAATGAAATGAAACGAAGATTAAAATCTACCCATGAAGAGTTGCAAAGAGGGTGGTTATGTGGAAATACCATGACATGATTTGGAAATCTTATTGGATCAATTGCTCAGTATATGCTATGTAATATTGCTGAATATTAAGTCAGAAAAACTGATAAAATGCTGAAGAAAATGGCTGTATCTATAGCACAATTTAATTTATTTAGTCATCAGTAACTAATCTTTTCAAGTTCTTGTTTGTATTACCTGTCTAATACTACATAATGAGCACCTCCAAATCTGAAACAATAACAATATAATTGGCTCTTGATTCTGAGTGTTGGCGATTGACTATGGTTTTGCTGGGAAGTTCAGCTACTCTCAGCTGGGCTCACTCTTAGATTTGTAGTCACAACCTCTGTCCTGCCCTTCGAAATCTCATTAATGTGAGATACTCCATATTCTGAATCTCTCCTTTACCGTAGTAGGTTAATAAACTTGGCTTTAACAAGTTATTTTGATGGGTAGAATTTTTTTCATGACTCAGCATTCAATACCTCACATATCTTTATGTATTTTTGCTTTATCACTTGTTTTTCTTTTTCTTATTTTAGTCAGGTCTCTGACAAATAACTTCTCTATCAAAAATTGATATCCTCTTTACTATTGCAGTGGCCTATTTTTTTTCTATAAAGGACCTACCACAACTCATAGTGTGTATATGTACACATATTTTGTTATTGTTGTTGATTATTTTATTGTCTAAAATATATGCTCCACTAGATCAGGGAATTTTACTTTTGGTCATTGCTCTATATCCAGCAGCTAAATTAATAGTTGACACAAAATAGATATCTCATAAAATTTGCTTAATGAGTTTAAACTCATTAATGAATTGACATGTACACCAATCAAATTACCATTTCATTTACTAGATTATTCCTTTATTTAGTAATATTCATACTACCTGACACATTTTGTTTTGAAAAATTCAGATGCCTATGATCTTTTTGCTTCAAATTATTTTTAAAAGCATAGTTTCATAAGCTATTAAATTTTAAGATGTTATAAATTTTATTATCAATTTTTTTACTCAATTGAATTTTAGGACAGAAAGTTCATTTTTTAAAATAACTTATTCAGCTACCAGAATGAGTATAGTGTAATAATTGACATTGTAGTTAAAATGAAACATAAAGAGAAAAATGACCTTAACTTTCAAATTTACCATAAAAATTACAGAGGATGGTTATAAAATTGTTCCTCTTCAGAGAAATATCTATAGGAATTCTGGCAGATTAAAATCAGTAAAACTGCATTTTTCATTGTAGCAATATATTTGATCTAAATTATCAATATTATTTTCCTTCTTTATATTTTTACTTTTTGTCTTTAGACAAAGCCCAAGTTAGTTTGATTCATTTGGAAATACAATGTAGCATATTGGATTCCTTTTATATAAAAAGATTTTGTATAAATTCTATTTGTGGACAATATCAATGAGCACTGCACTGTAGAACATAAATACAAAAAATTAAAATGTTTTTCTATATGATGTATATAGTTCAAGCTATGACTGTCAGTATACATAAATTTAACTGAGTAAATAACAAAAATTAAGTCTACACCTTAAGAAATTTTTCACATAAGATAGACTTCTAAAAGAAACTGCATCATTTTAGTGTTACTGTTCTCATATGAACTTCTTTTTAATGTTTATAAAAATTACCCAATAGCCCTTCTCTGTTTCAGAATGTGTAAAGTTGTATATGCCTACATAATTTATCAATTTTTAATATAAAATAAAACTTTGGGTGTATCTATGGTTTAAAGGCATATGTTTTATGTGTGTAATTTAATGCATTATTTTTTCCATATTAACATCCCTTTAATTGAGTTCACAGTACAAAAAGAGCTTTAAAAAAATAGGCTATGAATTTCATGAAATAAAGACAGTAGATTTAGTTTCTGTGGTTGTTGTTGTTTTCCTAACCTTAAAACAAGCAGGCACGTGCAATTTACAAGTGACTTAAGAACAGAGGTACAAAGCATATTCATGGCAGAATGATAAAAGTCCAGTAAATCTAGCTTAACCTGCAAATAGCTCTTTTGAAATATTTTACTCATAATCATAGTAGTTGTAAGAAACTGTCCTACAATATCTAAGAATTGACAACTAATCAGATTCACATTTGAAACTTTTAATAAAAACTTATGAAGTATGTGGGATTTGGATAAAAGAAAGCTGAGCTGAAAGCTAAGAGCCATGCCTATGCATAAACTGTTAGTCATCAGTAGAGTCAAGTCTGTAGAGAAAAGATGCAGCACAGTTAAAAAAAAATTTTGACTAAGAAGAAAGAAGCATACATACAGAGAAGAGAAGAAAATACTTTCTAGCACCTTCTCACATCAAACCACAATGCTCCCGTGAGACCCCAGTGGTCTTGATGCCTGTGAGCTTGCTACATCCCTAACGATTCTCATTCCATTGAGGGAGCTTGGATAGATTTTGTTCTTTGAAGCCAGAAGAAATATGAAAATAAGATGTTCACCAAAGGTCTCCACCAAACTATTTCTCTGCACACGCTTTGGAACCCTACAGCCCACTTTTGCAGCAAGAGCAGTGAAAAAACTGTCTATAGATAAAATATCGGTTCATGAGGGGATAAATAATTTATGAAAATATTTCAAAAAGATGACAAAAATGGTAAATATACCTAACTATTGGTAATACTACCTCCCTATCTCTATTGTATCCTCACTTCCCTCTTCAGTTTATGCTATCTGAAATTCAGACTCAGACATTAATTTGAATTAGGAGTCATCATTTTAATGTTTCTAGAAATATTAACTGAGTTGTAACAAAGCAAATTGTCCTTCAGCATCCATTCTCACCTTTCTTTAAAGCTGGAACATAGACAGGCTAGAAAACACAGTTTCTTTTCAGCTAGGGATGGATGTGATTCCAAGTTCCAACTAGTGACATGCAATCTAAAGGAATGTATGCAAATTCTGAGCCATATGCTTTAACAGGGAAAATGCCTGCGCTTCACCCAGAATAAGAAGGTGGTACCAGTGAGCCAGCCTCAAGTATGTGAGCAGGGAAAACATTTAGGGGTCTGTAGAGTGACGATATAGAATAAACCAGATTCTTAGGTGATCTCGTGGATCATTAACGTGGATGGAGCCTTTCACCTCTAAAGCACTAGATGGAAGAGAAATAATCATCTTTCTTGAGCCACCATATTCTGGGCTGCCTCTGTTAAAAATCAAGCAACTTGGTTCTTTGTTTTAATTATTTTCTCACTGAGTATAATTTTATATTTGCCAAATTTAAAAAATGAATTTTAACTGGAATCATTTATATCACCAAGTATTTCCAGTTTTCAGACAGATCTCATCTCCCATCTAGAAATATGTTATGGAAGCCACATGCTATACACAGTTTTTGGATACATTTTAGTTTATAATTTAATCAAACTTGATAAGTGTACAGAATTTAAATGAGTCTATGTATTGTATTGTATTGTATTGTATTGTATTGTATTGTATTGTATTGTATTGTATTGTATTGTATTTTTTGAGACAGGGTCTCACTGTCTCACCCAGGCTGCAGTGCAGTGGCACGGTCACGGCTCACTGTAGCCTCCACTTCTCAGGTTCAAAGGATCCCCCCACCTCAACCTCTCAGATAGCTGGGACTACAAGCATGTGCCATCATTCCAGGATAATTTTTAATAGTTTCTTGTAGAGACAGGATTTTGCCACATTGCCCAGGCTGCTCTCGAACTCCTGGGCTCAAGAGATCTGCCCACCTTGGCCTCCCAAACTGCTGTGATTACAGATGTGAGGCACTGCACCCAGCCACAAAAACATATTTTAAAAGTGAACAATATGATAATCATTATTTAAGATTTATGTCATGGCAATAAAATTAACAATAATTGAAAACACTGATATAACACATTAACCTCACAAGCAAAGTGGTAGATTCAAATTTAACTTCCTAACTCCAGAAGCCATCCTCTTAATTAACACCCTCTGTCTCTGTTCCCTCTCACTTTACTAGGCTGCTTTGCAGCAACTTAGGTCTCTTTATGTCTACAAATACGGTAGTCCTCCTTATCCTCAGGGAATGTGTTTCAAGACCTCTAGTGGATGCACGAAACTATGTAGTAGCTAACGCTCTATATAAAGTTGGCTTTTGTATCCATGAGTTCCATACCCATCAATTCAAGCAACCATGGACTGAAAATATTTGGAAAAAAAGGTAATAAAACAATAAAATAATACAAATTTTAAAATACAGTATAACAGTTATTTACATAACATTATATTAGGTTTATAAGTAATTTAGAGATGATTTAAAGTATATGGGAGGATGTGTGTAGGTTATATTCAAATACTATGCCATTTTGTGTAAGAGACTTGAGCATCTGCAGATTTTGGTATTGTGGAGAATCCTGGACATGGGATGGGAATGACTGTACTATGGTTTTTTTCTTTGCATACTATAATATTTAATTCATAAATTAGATACAGTAAGAGATTAATGACAACAATAAAATAGAAGTAGAGCAATATGCTGTAAAAAAGTTATGTGGATGCAGTCTCTCTCTTTTTGTCTGAGAATATCTTACTGTACTGTACACATCTTACTTGTGATAATGTGAGATGATATAATACGTACACAGTGAGTTGAAATGAGGTTCATGATGTAAGTATTGTAATGTTAGGCAATTACTGACCTTCTGAAAATATGTCAGAAGGGGGATCATTGGCTCTGGGTGATCCGGGATCATCTGGCCATAACGATGACTATGGTTGGATGTCAGAAAGAGATGATGTTGATGCCCAGTGAGTGGGTAGTATAAACAAATGTATAAAGTGGACAAAGGGATTATTCATATCCTGGGTGATATAAAGCAGCATAGAGTGAAATTTCATCACACTATTCAGCATGGCGTGTAATTTAAAATTATGAATTGTTTATTTTTGGAAATTTAATTCAATATTTTTGGACTGCATTGACCACAGGTTATTGACACTGTGGAAAGTGAAACCTTGAAAAAGGAAGAACACTGTACCCTGTGAACTAGGTTCAGGAAGTGTAGTGACATATCCAAGGTCACACAATTTATGTCACATTGTCAGAATTGCAAAACCGTTGTTACTTTTTTATATTCCAATGTTCTATGGCATTTGAATTGCCAAATAAATGATACAGACAATAAGTAGAATCATTCAGGAAAGAAGAAAATTTCCTCAAATAAATGGTCATGTAAGGACTGAAATTAAATAAAACTATTTACACAAATGTTTAGAGCAACCAAGTCAAGAGGTTTGCTTTTTTTTTTCTTTCAAACAATAAATCATTCTGTATGATTCACTTTAGTGCCTGAGTATGTGGATATTCAAAAGTGATTGAAGAGATAGAGATAGGGTGTGACATACTTTACCTTTTAATTGATTCTCTCTTATTATTTCTGCTTCATATTTTCATATTGTCTCCTGTAAAGTGGAGATAATAATATGGATTTGACATTGATTACCACTTTAGATTATGAAATGTTCCAAATATCAAATGTGGTATAAGTATTAAAATGTGCATTAAAAGAATCTGTCTCTCTCTTTTCATATATATAATATATATATTATATATATCGTAAGTCAATTTCTGCATTTAACATAATATTTACAAATTTCTTAGTAAAGCCCCTACCCTTTCCTCACAAAGGTGACTAGGAAAAAATATATATATATATAATTTATAAATATTTATTTATATAATTTATTTACAGGTGTATATACGAATTATATATGCATGTAAACTATTTATATATAATTACATGTATAAACAAATGTATATATAATTTGGTTCTATATGCATGAATCCAGATATATGTAATTATGGAAGTTTGCAGAGTTAACAAAATTGTAATGTGTGAAACTGAAATTTATAGGAAATTATGTAGGCTAATATATAACAGTATTCCACAGATATCTTGGAAAGGAACAAAAGGATACAAAGAAAACCTGTTTTCATTCTATGAATATCATCTTACTATCTCATATTCATTATAAACACAGGAACTTAAATCAGGAAAATATTTTTCCCCTATAATGTAAGCAAAATAGTAATTTATTTTATTTTTCCCAAACACCTGGACATTAATTGATAATTTAAAAATCTTTAAGTGTTTTTCTATATTTTAGCCTTAATTTTTCCTGCAATTAACAAGTGACTTTCTTCACAGAATTGGAAAAAACTACTTTAAAGTTCACATGGAACCAAAAAAGAACTCGCATCACGAAGTCAATCCTAAGCCAAAAGAACAAAGCTGGCGGCATCATGCTACCTGACTTCAAACTATACTACAAGGCTACTGTAACCAAAACAGCATGGTACTCTTACCAAAACAGAGATATAGATCAATGGAACAGAACAGAGCTCTCAGAAATAACACCGCATATCTACAACTAACTGATCTTTGACAAACCTGAGAAAAACAAGCAATGGGGAAAGGATTCCCTATTAAATAAATGGTGCTGGGAAAACTGGATAGCCATATGTAGAAAGCTGAAACTGGATCCCTTCCTTACACCTTATACAAAAATTAATTCAAGATGGATTAAACACTTAAACGTTAGACCTAAAACCATAAAAACCCTAGAAGAAAACCTAGGCATTACCATTCAGGACATAGGCATGGGCAAAGACTTCATGTCTAAAACACCAAAAGCAATGGCAACAAAAGCCAAAATTGACAAATGGGATCTAATTAAACTAAAGAGCTTCTGCACAGCAAAAGAAACTACCATCAGAGTGAACAGGCAACCTATAAAATGGGAGAAAATTTTTGCAACCTACTCATCTGACAAAGGGCTAATATCCAGAATCTGCCATGAACTCAAACAAATCTACAAGAAAAAAACAAACAACCCCATCAAAAAGTGGGGAAAGGACATGAACAGAAACTTCTCAAAAGAAGACATTTATGCAGCCAAAAGACACATGAAAAAATGCTCACCATCACTGGCCATCATCGAAATGCAAATCAAAACCACAATGAGATACCATCTCACAGCAGTTAGAATGGCACTCATTAAAAAGTCAGGAAACAACAGGTGCTGGAGAGGATGTGGAGAAATAGGAACACTTTTACACTGTTGCTGGGATTGTAAACTAGTTCAACCATTGTGGAAGTCAGTGTGGTGATTCCTCAGGGATCTAGAACTAGAAATACCATTTGACCCAGCCATCCCATTACTGGGTATATACCCAAAGGACTATAAATCATGCTGCTATAAAGACACATGCACATGTATGTTTATTGCGGCACTATTCACAATAGCAAAGACTTGGAACCAACCCAAATGTCCAACAATGATAGACTGGATTAAGAAAATGTGGCACATATACACCATGGAATACTATGCAGCCATAAAAAATGATGAGTTCATGTCCTTTGTAGGAACATGGATGAAATTGGAAATCATCATTCTCAGTAAACTATCGCAAGGACAAAAAGCCAAACACCGCATGTTCTCACTCATAGGTGGGAATTGAACAATGAGAACACATGGACACAGGAAGGGGAACATCACACTCTGAGGACTGTTGTGGGGTGGGGGGAGGGGGGAGGGATAGCATTAGGAGATATACCTAATGCTAAATGACGAGTTAATGGGTGCAGCACACCAGAGCCAGCATGGCACATGTATACATATGTAACTAACCTGCACATTGTGCACATGTACCCTAAAACTTAAAGTATAATAATAATAAAATAAAATAAAAAAAGAAATTGTAAAAAAATAAAAAATAAAAAAATAAAATAAAATAAAATAAAAAAGTTATCTGACAATAGAATATTTTACCAAAAAGTAAAATTTATAATCTTACTTGGCAGAGCATGTACATATTTGTGTTTTTATAATTAACTTGTGTATTATTATTTTCAAATAAATAATTTTAAATAAATATTAAGATATAATTCTGTTTCCAGAGTGATCTATACAATTCCAGTAATTTATCTAAACCTTAAATAAAACATCTTGTTACTGAATATAATAAATTATAACATAGCAAAATAAGAAATTCCATGGCTGAAATATGACTTTATGAGTTGTATCTGCTGAGTCTTATCTTTCAGCAGAGTCAAAACAGCCAATATAGTTACTAGCATAAAAATTAGTTATCAGTTCTACATTTGATTTATGTTCCTTCTGACGCATTGGTTTAAATGATTAATATAATTTGAACTCATGTAATAATATGGTAAAATTTTGATATTAAAGTATTTGCCTTCCAATACAGTGCATAGAAATTTAAATATTAAATTTAGCCTACTGCCTTGAATTTAGCAATAATCTAACTTGCTGAAACAGAAAAGTAGTGTAGATCAAAGCTGGCATATTGTATATAAATAATCAGAGAAAAACATTACATAAATGGAGGTAAAACAGTACAAAATGGAGGTAAAAATACAAATTTGTTTGTGACCACCCATAAGGTGCATTTACTTTATCCACTAAATAGATACGTTATTAACAGTACTACTTTAATAAACCTATACACTGTCTTCAATAATTCATGTTATAGGATGCTTACAATAATTATGAAAAGATCCAAGATGTAAAAAGTTAATACATACATATTTACTGACTCAGATGTTTTCTCTATATTGTATTCAAAATTCAAAATAAGAAATTGTGCCATTCACTCATGTTATTTAAAATTCAAGTTGAAGAAGCATTAGGAAATCATACATTTACATAAGGAAAATAAAATCATAAAATGTAGGTAGAAGAGAAAAAATTATGTTCAAATTATGACTAAGGTTTTCCTAAGGGCTTAGAAAGAATAATCACTTAACAAAACATAACCAAACTGGAATAATGAATTGTAGTCATTACAAGAGGAAAAAGTTAAATTTTTAAGTATATCAGTCTCCTTACAATGTCATTGTTCTGAAATTTTATGTCCCAATTTAATAATAAAAGCTGTTTTATTTAGCAGACATGTCTGTAGTTCTTTTTGGGGAGCCTCCAAAATGGGTCATAAAATAACATGTTATGTAAAAAATTCCACCCTGTTGCAAATAAAACTATGAAAGCTCCAGTTAAGAGGAAAAAAAATACAGAATACCTGGAATATTGTTAAGTGCTTTCTGAACAGAGATTATATGAGCTCTCCACTTACCTATATTTGCAGAAAATGTAATTAAATAGAATATTTGTAAATTTTTATTGAACTCAATCTAAAAAATGCTTCCCTCTCTCTCATACATATAAGTGTATATATACACACATGTATGTACATACACATATGTACATACATACATACATATATACAGAGAGAGAGGGTGTATACATATTCTTTCTCTCTTCATAATACGCATATTCCCTAATATGTGCTAGGGATTTTATTTGTCACTGTGTTTAATCTTTAAACAACTATTTAATGTAAATACAATTATTCTAACTTTTATGTATTTATAACCAAAGGTCTGCTTTAAGAGATTTCATATTAAAACCCTCACTTTGACTAGTGTGATTTAGTAGAAAACACATGGGTCCTGGAAACAGAGTAGAACATGGCTTTAGTTCCTGGTGACAATTGTTCAATTGTTTGCCTAAGTATCCTTTTGGACTAGTGAGTTAACATCTTGGGATGTATTTTTCTTAACTGCAAAATGGAGGTAAAAATACTCAACTTACATGCATAATTATTATTAGGATTAGATTCAACAATACCCACTTCCTTCCATATGGTATTAACCCAATAAACAGTTATGTTATTATCATTGCATTATTTTATAATTACCAATAACCAGTATGTATATGCTATCCACTTCATTAAAAGAAGTATACACATACACTTATATGCATATATGTCTCTTTTTAGAAAATAAAGTCATTTTAAATAATTCACTAATTTGATCTACCTTATTTAAATATTAATTTTTATAAAAAGTCTAGTAAATACTTTCATATTTATTTAGTACATACATTTCTAAACAGCTGTATCTTTTATAATAAATTATATAATTTGTTTAATCTTGGCCTTTATAGTAAAAGTATAACAAATCAATTGCTTGAAGAGAGAACTGACAAAAGTAAACTGATTTAAAATTTTCTCCCTTTTTAATAAATTTAACTTTCTACATTATTTTATAATAAAAAATGTGATTGTGAAGAGATTAAAATATGTTTAAATTCACTTACCTCATTTCATATTGACAGAAGTGTCAAGATTTCCATGAATATAAGTTTAAATTCAACCTACTAATATAAATATGATCAGAACATTCGTTATATATGCCTGCCTAAATAAACATATACTCTTCATAGCTGCAACATTCATTTTGATATTAATTTGTTATATTCCTTAAGGTGTTCATTTCAAATGTAGAAGATCAAAGGATTTAAAATAGTTCTCTTGTGTCATCTGGTACAATTTTAAAGATGTAGATGGCAAAGTTAATTCAGAAATCTCATTATAAAAGAACAGTTACAACTGTTCTATGTCCATTTATCACTGCAGATTGTAGTTAGAAAGAAATAGAATTGTGTAAAATGAATACAAGTGAGAAGATAAAAGACTAAAAGTCTCCATGCAGTATAAAGACATAAGGTCCAAAATTCTGTTGCAATCTTCATGTTTTTATGAAACTTCAGAATGTCTAATTGATTTCATTTTCTTCTCAACCAGAAGTACAGCATCTATTCACGTAGGGATTTGACATGCCCTTTCTAAAATCAGGCACAATATTTTTAATTTTTCAATAAGACACTATTATATTAATTTTAGGAGCAATGTTTGTATGAACCAAATATTTTGACCATAATCATTGTCAAGGAAATTTAGAGGGATGGTAAACCAGAAGATTAATGTTTGTGGTTTCACTCTGCTTAGAATTCATGCTTTCAAATTCTGGATTTGCACACCAAATGGATGTGCATATCAAATTTGCATTTAAATAGTACAGGCCATGCAATAACCAGATGTAAATATTGTAAAAAACAAAACTTAAAAAAAAACTTGTATATCTGACATATTCCTTCTTTAAGAGTCTCTTTTTATTATCTGGCAGAAGAGAAAATGAAAAAAAAAATGACTATCCTGTGGACACTTTCTAGATTCTCCTGTGAGGCATAGAATCTAATTATATTGTCATTTCCCTCCTGACAGATCTGGCCTGTGTGCCATCATTATGATACTGCTCTCTGTAAACCACCAGTTCAATAACATGATTTGCCTCACTAATGTTTGTCTATTTCTGTTAATTTGTGATAAACGTGAGGGTGATGGTGTGTTTCAGGGTGAATTCATTATGACAATGTCTGGTAGCAAGTTGTAGAAATTTAAAACATGAATTTAGATGAATCCTCATTTAATGAATTCATGATTTTTTTAAATGTCCAGTGTAACACATCTATATACACAAAGCTGTAAAATACTGACTGCTATGGAATCAATTCTTTTTTTTATTTTTTAATTTCAATTGTCTTATTACTATATTTTTTTATTTTAAAGCTTGAATAATGTTGTCTGATTTCTAGTTCCATTAACAAATCAAGAATAGATTCAAATGGAAAGAAAAGGAAGTGGGAAAATACGTATTTGAATTTTTTGTTTCTCAACAAAATTACTTAAACCTATTTGTAAAAAAAGATGTAAAAATATCTGAGAGAGGACATGTAAATTTATTTCTTCAAAAATAGTCTACATTTTCCTTTTATTCTTGGTGATTTTTTAAAGGGCTGACTTCTTTCTAAAAGAAAAATAAGGCTGGGCACGGTGGCTCATGCCTGTAATCTCAGCACTTTGGGAGGCTGTGGCAGGTGGATCCCGAGGTCAGGAGATTGAGACCATACTGGCTAACATGGTGAAACCCCGTCTCTACTAAAAATACAAAAAAATTAGCCTGGCATGGTGGCATGCACCTGTAGTCCCAGCTACTCGGGAGGCTGAGGCAGGAGAATGGCATGAACCCGGGAGGCGGAGCTTACAGTGCAGCCGAGATCGCACCACTGCACTCCAGCCTGGGCAATAGAGCGAGACTCCATCTCAAAAAAAAAAAAATTAATTAATTAAAAAATATTGAAACATCATAAATATAGTGACATTTCCATAGACTATAAAGAGCATATTTTCCATGCAGGTAATGTACCTATCAGCAAAACAAACAATCATTTCCTAAATTAATTCACTTTGGCGGTAAATTACCTGATTTTTTTTATCACAAATTGTCACTTATTTACATTAGTTGCCATTATTTTTGACAGCCTGTGTTTGAACCAATAGCTCAAATGCAAATCACAGAACACAACCAAAACAAACAAAATTTTAAAACAGGCCTGCAAAGAGTAGCAAAATATTATATTAAAGTTTAACTTTAATATAAGGATAAACTTTAAATTTAATAAAGAATCCTAACATTGCATTTAGTATATATTTTTTCTAGACACATAATTTTTCTCATTATAGCCACCAACGAGTTTTCCTTTTTAAAAAATGTTTCTATATATTTAAACTTGTCTAATTTAATGTTTTTATTTCAGTTTATTTTTGTCCCTTTAAATTTGCATTTACCCATACCAACTACTTAGAAATTTTCTAATTTTTAATCTAAACTTTCTTTTTTCCATGCCTAAAATGTATGACATGATTATCATTATGCACATCTGGCTCATTCTTTGTAATGACTACGATAATTTTCAAAGAACACATTTTGCAAGAATTTGTACTACCATTTTCTTGTTAATAGACTAGTTGCTTTCAAGCTTTGTCAATACATATTAATGCAGAAGTAAATATTTTTGTGTGTATATATCTTCAGACACTGGTGCTACAGAGATTTCCAAAAGTAGAATATCCAGGTCAAAGAGTATTAAGGATAGTTAACATTTTTTTTTTTACCTGATCACTTTCCAGAAAGTTTGTAGCAATTTACACTCAGAAATGAGGTTGCTGTTTCCCTCTACGATCATCATCGAAAGTGATTATTTTTTAAATTGTCATAATCTTATGGTAAAAATTATGTTACCTAAATGTCATCTAATTTACATTTCCCCTCATCACACTTAGGTTGAACATTATTTCATAAGAATAGAGAGGCCACAGTTATTACTCATAACGTATTTCAGAGGGAATATCAATTGCTGTAGTTAGCCTCCTGATCTCCCTCATGAGCATCCACTCAGTGGTGGAGGGTAAGAATGGGACATTTTTGTGTTTCCATTGCTGACGTTGCTGTTGTTTTGCAGTGTGTGTGTGCAAATGTATCTGTATGTCTGTGTGTGTTTTCCAAATTTGGTAAACTCAGTCCCATGCAATACATGAAAGAGTTCCTGTAGATGAACATTTCTGGTAAAAACACATAATCTTTGAAATCTTCATTCCTGTTCTTCTAAAGATGAAATCTAGAAATGTGAGGGAAGAGTGTGAACTATTGTTTCTTCATGGCAGTAGCAAAGGAAACGTGGTCTTCAGTTCTTACAGGAGCTCTAGTTCAGACAGTCTGGACAGCATCACCATTCTGCATGACTACCTTTGTCTCTCTACCAGTGCTTGCAGCTGGGGCCTCAGCAGTTGTAATCTATGCTAGTATCTCTCGCTGTACTAATAGAGCTTCACAACTGATAAGACTTTACAAGGGTTCTCCCTGGCACTATAGAACCTCTGAAGTTTCTGCCTTGTCCTTTATCCATAATTCAAACTCTGAAGTCCCTTTTGTTATCAAAGCAGGCCACATGGCAGGACTGCTCCCCTCAGCTAAGTTTGCTACAATATTTCTCCTTGAAGACTATAAGGGTTTATGGGTTCTACATATGTAGTACAGGAACTGAGAATGGCTCAGACAAAATGCACTCTGGTCTTTAACATTCCTCAAATTATTTTTTACACATCATTATCTTTTAATTTTTATTTTGACCTAATTTTAGATTTCAGATTATTAAAAAAATAGTAAAGAGTTTCTGTATGCACCTCACCCCACTCCCTTTAATGGTAGAATCTTACTTAACAATGGTACAATGATCAGAACTAGTAAATTAACATTGGTAAAATGCTATTAAGAAACTACTTCTCCATAATATTTACACTAATATCTTTTTTTTCTGTTCCAGGAACATATCCATGATTGTACATTGCACTTATCTGTTATTTTTCTTGTCTCCTGTAGTTTGTAACCATTCCCAATATTCTTCAATCTTTCCTTGTTTTTCATGACCTTGACTCTTCTGAAAAGTATTGACCAGTTATTGTATATTCCTCAATACTTGTTTGATTTTTTACATATTTGTGTTGACGTTATGCATTATTTGCAAGAAACCCCATCAATTATGTGTTCTCAGTAAATGACATCCTGGGGTTTATTTTGTCAATATTTGTTATTACCTGTAATGTTAGACTCTATTTGGTTTAGGTGATTAACCACTGTGTTTCTCCACTGCACTATATTTCTCCTTCATGTTAATAGATACCTTGGAGGAGTTAATTTAAAACAGAAATTCTGTTTCCTTTCAAGCTTTCACTTACTAATTTTAACATCCATTAATGGATCTTGTCTTCAACTGTTATTATTAATGGAGTTGCCTAATGGAGCTTCCCACTTCCTTCTTTCTTAATACATTTATTAATTGGAATTCTATTATATGGATTAGCTATTCTTGTTGCCTCATTGGTTAATTTTTATATGTGTATTTTGTTCTTTATGTATATCAATATGGACTTCTGGATGTTTATTTTAACCTGTGGGTTAAAATCCAGTACTATCAATGTTTATGTTGCTAGCTAAATTGTTCAAATTGTAGGCATTAGGAACCCCATCAGGTTTCCTCCTTTGTTCTTTAAACAAATCTCTATCTTTTATTTTGAGCATATCCTCACTTGTTGGCACCACAAGTTGTCCCAGGCTCACTTTCTATTCTCCTTGCTCTAAGACTGAGATCAAGAGATTAACCAAAGAGCTCTGGTATCTTTTATTGGGAATGATATTTACAAATCAAGATCCATAGGGTGGGTATGCTCATTACTATCTAGAGTGTTACCTCTTTAATCCCTCTCAGTGGACAGAGTTAGGAAACATGTATACACATATGCTTTGTATATAACACATAATTATATGTTGATAGAGAGATAGATACCCATATATACTAGCTCATTAAATACACACAAATATCTAGCTGTGGTATCCATGAGTTATGCTAATCTCTTTATTCCAATCCAACACTACAGGGTGCGATTTATTCATTTGGACCTCCTGTCTTTATTTGTAATTTTATTCTAATAGTAAAAATTTCAATTTTTATCACACATTACAAATGTACTTTTTCAATTTCAGCATGCACACAAAATGATTTTGTAGTTGCTAATTTATGGCCCTGTGGAAAACATATTTACTGATTAGAGTGCAACATGTATGTATATTTTTATTTGTAGGCTGTCAGTATTAAGTCAAAACATGGTTTACAAAAGTTGCTTAGGTTATTTTTTCCCTCAATGCCGTTAAGTGTGGCTATATTATTTATTCGTTATTGTTTATATTACATTTTATTTTTTATTCACTTTTTTGGTTTTAATAATTTATATTTTAGGAATTTAATGTTTATGTGAAATAATGCAATATTTTGGAAGCTCAGAGATATACAAAGACGTACTCATAGATGTGTCACTACTTCTCATCTTGGATACCACATGTCTGTTTTCATTTTCTATTCACCTTCTCAACCTACTATATATAGGAAATAACTTCCTTAATTTATGCTTTATCTTTCCTGCTATGATCTAAATGTTTATGGAAATGTGTCTGTTGAAAGCTAACCCACAAGTTTATGGCATTAATAGAGACAGCCTTTGGGGAGCTATGAGATCATGAGGACTCTGCTGTCATAAATGGGATTGATGCCCTTATCAAAGAGTCACTGGGGAGCCCTTTTGCCTTTCCACCATGTGAGGACACAGTAAAAAACTATCACCTTCGAATCTCTCTGCCTTTGTTTTCTGCTTTTAAGGGCTCAGATAGTTACCTTGGGCCCACCCAAGTACTCCAGAAAAATCTTCCTGCCTTAAGGTTTAACTGAGTCATAACCTTAATTACATATGCAAAGTCCTTTTCACCATGAAAGGTAACATATTCATAGGTTGTAACACCAGGGGGCAAATGTTATTAGGACCAAAATTCTGCCTGCTACAAGAGGAGTATCCCACAGGGATAGCCTTCCTTCTCTTTTTACTCATTTTCCAAATCTGTCAAGGTCCCAAGAGAACTCTAGCCTCTTCCAATTGCAGTCTGAAGTACCAGATGTTACCAGTTTTGCTCCTCTATCTGATTACAGATGTGTGTGGAAGAGTGGGCTACTCTCTCTCACCACTGGCTCGGTGGGTGAAGAGGGGATGGAAGCACTGGGGGATGAGAGGGGTTTCATGCAACATTGCTGGCTTGAAGATGGAAAGAACCACAAGCCAAATAATTCGGAACACCAGTCCCAGGTTCAGCGGCAAGGAACAGAATCGTACAATAAGCTGAATGAGCTTGGGTATGAATTCCTCCCCAGATCCTCCAGAAAAAGCATGCATATCTTCCAATACCTTGATTTTGGCTTATTAGACTCTGAGCAGGGAATAGAGCCATGCCATGCCAGTCTTCTCACTTACAGAACTATGAGATAATAATTGGGTGGTGGTGTATATCTGTGATAATTTGTTACATAACAATACAAAGCAAATACTAAATTTAGGTATTGAGGTTGTCACTTTATATGGTAAAAGGTAACAAAATAGACTAGAGACCTAAAATAATAGTCATATTCTACTCTTACTGCTTAAAACATTATCAGGATCCAGAAAAAGTCCACATGGTAGAGATAATGCTGTGGTTTGCCAATGCATTCTCCTGCTGGGAACACATTTCCCAGTTGTTCACGCCACTAGGGTGGAACAATGGGGCAGAGTTCTGGTCAAAGAAATGTAGGCAAAAACATTGAATGCACTTCTAGGTCTGGCCAGAAATTGTCCCACACAATCTTCCATTTTCTCTCTCTTCCTTGTTAGGGGCTGAATGTTTATTCCCCCCAAGTTCCTATTTTGAAATCCTAACCACCAATGTGATGGCATTTGGAGGTGGGACCTTTGGGAAGTGATTACATCATGGGAGTGGAGGCTTCGTGAATGGGATTAGTGTCCTTATAAAAGGACCCCAGAGATCTCTCTCATCTTCTCTTTCCACAATGTGAGAAGTCCACAACTTGGGAAAAGGGCCCTTGCCAGGACCCGACAGTTCTAACACCCTGATTTTGCAAGTCTAGCCTCCAGAACTGTGAGAAATAAATGTCTGTTCTAAAAATAATAGCATTCATAGTGACCTGAATGGAATTGGAGACCATTATTCTAAGTGAAGTAACTCAGGAATGGAAAACCAAACATTGCATGTTCTCATTCATAAGTGGGGGCTAAGTTATGGGAATGCAAAGACATAAGAAAGATACAATGGGCTTTGGGGACTCCAGGGAAAGGGTGGGAGAGGGGTGAGGGATAAAAGACTACAGATTGGGTACAGTGTATACTGCTTGGGTGATGGGTGCACCAAAATGTCAGAAATCACCATTAAAGAATTTATTTATGTAACCAAACACCACCTGTTCCACCAAAAACCTATGGAAATAAAAAGTAAAAATAAAATAAATTAAAAAAGAAAAAAATTTTCTTTTAAAGCATCACCTGTGAATCAGAGAATCCTCACCAGACACTGAAACTGCTGTCACTTAGGTCTTGGACTTCCCAGCTTCCAAAACTGTGAGAAATATGTTTTTGTTGTTTATAGACTCCAGTTTGAAGTGCTTTGTTATAGTAATCAAAATTAACTAAGACAGATGAACACTCCAGGCAGAGGGAGTAGCATTAGCCACTATCAAAAGCATGACATGGTACATATGTGTTTTCATATTGTTAGGGCAAAAGTTAAGTGTATTTATAGACTGGTTAGATATTGTCGAATTCCCCTCCAGAAAGATTGTGTCATATTACATTCTCATGAGCAATGAAAAGAGTGCCTGTTTCCCCAGTGTCAAAAGTACATGCTGTCATATTTCAGAATTTTGTCCGTTTACTAGGTGAGACATAACATATTTGTGGTATTTTAGGTTGTTATTTTTACTATCTTATTGAGGTTTAATTGACATACAATACATTGCACATTTTTAAAGTGGACAGTTTCATAAGTTTTGACATATATATATATATATATATATATATATATACATGAAACCACCATGACAATCAAGATAATGAACAGGATTGAATGCAGAGCAAGATGGCCAAATAAAAGGCTCCACCAATCATCCTCCTTGCAAGAGCAGCAAACTGAACAGCTATCCACAGAAAAAACACATTCATAAGGACTAAAAATTAGGTTAGCAACCACAGTACCTGGTTTTAATTTCATATCACTGAAAGAGACACTGCAGAGGGTAGAAAAACCCTGCCTCCTCTAAAAGTACAAAATTTAGCCAGGCACGGTGGCATGTGCCTATAGTCTCTGCTACCCAGGACGCTGAGGCAGGAGAATGGCTTGAACCCAGGATGCGGAGGTTGCAGTGAGCCTAGATGGCACCACTGCACTCCAGCCTCGTTGACTGAGCGAGACTCTATCTTGAAAAAGAAAAAAAAAAAAGCCTCTCTTTTATTACTGACACTGCCTTTCCCCCTTCCCCTGGCAATGGCCACATACACAGAGAGAAAATCTGTGCACTTTGAGGAGGGAAATTGGAGTGGTTGTGGGATTTTGCGTTGGAATTCTGTGCTGCCCTGCCACAGCAGAAAGATACACCAGGCAGAACCCAGATGGCACCCACGGAGGGAGAATTTAGACCAGCTCTAGCCAGAGGGGAATCATCCGTCGCAACACTAGGAGCTTGAGTTCCAGCAAGGCCCGCAACCACAAGCTGAATTGTTCTGGGGCCCTAAATACACTTGAAAGGCAGTCTAGATAGCAAGAACTGCAATTCCTGGACAAGTCCTGATGCTGTACTAGTCTCAGAGCCAGTGCACTTGGAATGCATGTGACCTAATGAGGTACCAGCCAGGGTAACAAAGGGACTGCTTGTGTCACTCCCTTCCCCATCCCAGGCAGCATAGCATGCAGCTCCAGGAGAGACTCCTTCCTTCCACTTGAGGAGAAGAGAAGGGAGAGTAAAGGGGACCTTTTCTTAGAACTTTGATACCAGCACAGCTGCAGTAGAATAGGGCACCAAGCAGAGCCCTGAGGCCCCCATTCCAGACCCTAGATTTCAGATGACATTTTTAGACACACCCTGGACCAAAAGAGAACAAACTGCCCTGAAGGAAGGCCTCAGTCTTGACAGAATTCAGCACCCACTGACTAAGGAGTCCTTGGGCCATACATAATCAGCAGCAGTGGCCAAGCACTATTCACTGCAGGCCTTGGATGAGCCTCAGAGCTGTGCTGGCCTCAAGTATGAGCAAGCACATTCCTACTAGTGTTCATGGGGAAAGACTCTTATGGCTTGAGAAAAGGGGAGGAATGTGTACAGGGGACTTTGTCTTAGAGCTTATGTACCAGGTTGGCAACAGTGGGATAAAGGAGCAAGCAGGCTCTTGGAGTCCCCAATTCCACACCTTGGTTGTGGATGGCATTTCTTGACTTATTCTGGGCCAAAGAGGAGCCCACTTCCTGAAGGAAGAGACTCAGGACTAGCAGCATTCATCACCAGCTGACTGAAGAGCCCTTGGGCCTAGAGTGAACATTGATCATAGCCAGACAGTATTTGTTACAGGCCTGAGCAGTGGTGGCCATGGCAAGAGATTCAACTGCTTTTGGAAAGGGTAAGAAAAACTGGGAAAAACTTTGTCTTGTGGCTTGAGTGCCAGCTCAGCCACAGTAGAACAGAGCACCGGGTGGATTCCTAAGGTTTCAGACTCCAGACCCTGGCTCCCAGACAACATCTCTGGGCCTGACTAGTACTGGGGAGAACTCATTGCCCTTAAGGGAAAGATACAAGCCTGGCTTCCTTTGCCACCTGCTGATGGTAGAGCCATAGAGTCTTGAGTAAACATAGGTAGTAGCCAGGCAGTAGTTACTGTGGGCCTTGGACATGTTTCAGTACAGTACTGGCTTCAGGTCTAACCCATGGCAGTCCCAGTGGTGGTAGCCACAGGGATGTTTGTTTTACCCCTCCCCCAGCTCCGGGGAACTCAGGAGAGAGAGAGAGAGACTCTGGGAGAAAGTAAAGGAAGAAAACAAGTGTCTCTGCTTGGTAACTCAGAGAAATCTTCTAGATCTTATTCAAGATCACCAAGTCAATACCTCTAAGAGTCTGCAAGATCTATAGTGTTACTGTGTTTGGGGTGCCCATTGATGCAAATATGGCTGCAGGGGCCAAAACATGGATCATAACACCCAAGTCACTTCAAATACCTGGAAAGCATTCCCATGAATGATGGGTATAAACAAGCAAAGACTACAAGGGCTACAATAAGTACTTAACACTTCAATGCTCAGACACCAGTGTACATTCACAAGCATCAAAACCATCCAGGAAAACATGACTTCACCAAAGGATCTAAAAAAGGCACCAGCACCAATTCTGGAGAGACAGTGAAGTGTGACCTTTTAGACAGAGAATTCAAGTTAGCTGTTTTGAGAGAGCTCAGTGAAATTTAAGATAACACAGAGAAGGTATACAGAATCCTGTAAGATACATTTAACAAAGAGCTTGAAATTAAAAAGAATCAAACAGAAATTCTGCACTTCAAAAAATGCTATTACATACCAAAAAATGCATTAGAGTCTCTTAACAGCAGAACTGATCAGCAGAACAAAAAAATTAGTGAGCTTTTGGGAGGCTGAGGCAGGCGGATCACAAGGTCAGAAGATCAAGACCATCCTGGCTAACAGAGTGAAACCCTGTCTCTACTAAAATTACAAAAAATTAGCCAGGCATGGTGGCAGGTGCCTGTAGTCCCAACTACTCAGGAGGCTGAGTCAGGAGAATGGTGTGAACTAGGGAGGTGGAGCTTGCAGTGAGCTGCGATTGCACCACTGCACTCCAGCCTGGGGACAGAGCAAGACTCCGTCTCAAAAAAAAAAAAAAAATTAGTGAGATTAAAGACAGGATATTTGAAAATACACAGTCACAGGAGACAAATAAAAGGAATAAAAAAGAATGAAGTGCACCTATAATATCTAGGGCAAATCTAAGAGTTATTGACCTTAAAGAAGGGGGAAAGAGAAAGATATAGATGTAAAAAGTTTACTCAAAGGGTTAATTACAGAACATCCCAAACCTAGAGAAAGATATCAGTATTCAAGTACAAGAAGGTTATGAACTCCAAGAAAATTTAACCCAAATAAACTACCTCCAGACATTTAATAATCAAACTTCTAAAGATCAAGGTGAAAGAAAGGATCTTAAAAGCAGCAATAGAAAAGAAACAAATAACATACAATGGAGCTCCAATATGTATGGTAGCAGACTTTTCAGTGGAAATGTTATAGGCCAAGAGATAGTGGCATGATATATTTAAAGCTGAAAGAAAAAAAAAATTCTACCTTAGAATAGTATATCCAGCAAAAATACCTTTAAAACATGAAGGAGAAATAGAGACCTTCTCAGATGAATGAATGCTGAGGGATTTCATCAACACCACACCTGTCCTACAAGAAATGTCAAAAGAAGTTCTTCCATATGAAAGAAAAGGATGTTAATGAGCATTAAGAAATCATCTGAAGGTAGAAAACTCACTGGTAATAGTAAATACACAGAAAAACAAATAATATTATAACACTGTAATTGTGTTGTACAAATTGTTCATATCTTACGTAAAAAGACAAAACAATGAACTGATAAAAAATAATAACCACAACAACTTTTCAATATATCAGTACAATAAAATATAAATAGAAATAACAAACAGGGAAAAATGGAGGGGGGAAGTTAGTGTAGAGATTTATTAGCTTTCTCTTTGATATTTTTACTAGTTCATTTGTTAGTTTATGCAATTGATGTTAATTTGTCATAAATTTAAAATAATGGGTTATAAGATATTATTTGCAAGTCTCATCGTAACCTCAAATCAAAAGCATACAATTGACACAAAAAAATAAAAAGAAATTAAAACGTACCACCAGAGAAAATCACCTTCACTAACAGGAAGATAGGAAGGATGGAAAGAGGGAAGAGAAAAACACAAAACAACAAGAAAACAAATAAAATGAGTATGTCCTTACTTGTTAGTAATAATATTGAATGTAAATGGACTAGTCTGTCCAATCAAAAGACATAGAGGGGCCAAATGGATAAAGAAACAAGAACCATTGATCTGCTGCCTACGAGAAACAAATCTCAACTATAAAGACACACATAGACTGAAAATAAAGGAATGGAAAAAGATATTTTATGAGAATCAAAATCAGAAACAAAGGATCGTGATAAGCTATATTTATATCAAAACAAAGTATAGATTTCAAGACAAAAACTATAAGAAGAGACAAAGAAACTTAATATATAAAGATAAAGGGGTGAATTCAGCAAATATATACATATTTGTTATATATCTATTTATAAATAAATAAACATAAATATATAAATAAATATAAATATATAAATAAATATATATTTATTATATATAAATATATAAATAAATAAATATATTTATAAATAAATATATTTATAAATAAATATATTTATAAATAAATATAAATAAATATATTTATAAATAAATATATTTATAAATAAATATAAATAAATATATTTATAAATAAATATATTTATAAATAAATATAAATAAATATATATAAATATATATTTATAAATATAAGTATATAAATATATATTTATAAATATAAATATATAAATATATATTTATAAATATAAATATATAAATATATATATTTATAAGTATAAGTATATAAATATATATTTATAAGTATAAGTATATAAATATTTATTTATAAATATAAATATATAAATATTTATTTATAATATATATATTTATAAATATATTTATTTATAAATATATATTTACACTCAACAATGGAGCATCCAGATATATTAAGCAAATATTACCAGTGCTAAAGAGCTATTTGATATATGTATACACATTATATGTGTGTATATATTTTTATTATATACACACATTATTTATGTGTGTATATATTTTTATTATATACACACATTATTTATGTGTGTATATATACACATTATATATATATGTGTGTGTTTACATATATACAATATATATACTCAACAATGGAGCATCCAGATATATTAAGCAAATATTACCAGTGTTAAAGAGATGGAGTTCAATAAAATAAAATAAACTAACACCTAGAGACTTCAACACCCAACTTTCAGCATTAGGAACTCCATCCAGACAGAAAATCAATGAAGAAATATTGGACTTAATCTGCACTGAAGGTCAAATGGACCTGAGATATTTGTAAATCATTCTACCCAACATACAGAGAATACACATTCTGTTCCTTAGCACACAGATCATTCTTAAGGGTAGATAATATATTAGGACTCAAAAGAAGTCTTAAAAATTTCAAAAAAAATGAATTATGTTGTGGCTTTTCTGACACCATGGAATAAATCTAGAAATTAATAACATGAGGAATTTTTGAAACTACACAAATACATGGAAATTAAACAATATCTTCCTGAATCACCAGTGGTCAATGAAGACATTTAGAAGAAAATTAAAAATTTTTTTTGAAACAAGTGAAAATGGAAGTACAAAATATGAAAACCTATGTGATACACCAAATGCATTACCAAGAGAAAAGTTTATATCAAGAAGTACCTATATCAAAAATATATAAAATATTTAAATATACACCCTAGTGATTCTTTTAAAGGAACTAGAAAAGCAAAAGCATGTGAAACACAAAATTAGTAGAAGAAAAGTAATAATACTGATTAGAGCAGAAATAAATGAAATTGAAAAGAAGGATATGTACAAAAAAGCAACAAAATGAAAAGTTGGCTTTTTGAAAAGATAAATAAAATCAACAAGCCTTTAACAAAACTAAGAAAAAAAAGGCAAGATCCAAATAAATAAAATCAGATAAAAATGGGGACATTACAGCAGATACAGCAGAAATTGAAAGGATCATTAGAGGTAATTATGAGAAACAATATGCCCATAAATTTGAAAACCTAGAAGAAATGGATAAATTATAACAAACGTACAACTGACCAAGATTGAGCTACAAAGAAATCCATAACATGAAGAGACCAATAACAAGTGAAGAGATTGGAGCCATAATAAAATGTTTCTGAGCAAAGAAAAGCCCAACACCCAATGGCTCTACCATTGAATTTTACCAAAAATATAAAGAACTCAAATCAAATCTACTCAAACTATGCCAAAATATAGAAAAGCAGACGCTTCCAAATTCTCTCAATGAGGCCAGTATTACTCTAATACCAAAACCAGGCAAAGACACATCATAAAAAGAAAAATACAACCAAATATCACTGATAAACGTTAACACAAAATCCTAGCAAAAATAGTAGCAAACCAAATTCAACAAAACATTAAGAAAGATCATTCTTCTTGACCAAGTGAAATTTATCCCAGAGATGCAAGGATGGTTTCTACACATACATATCAGTCAATGTAATACATCATGTCAACAGAATGAAGGACAAATACATATGATCATTCTTGTTGATGCTGAAATAACATTTGACAAAATTCAACATCCCTTTATAATTAAAAACTCTCAAAACATTGGGTATACCTCAACAAAGCAAAACATATATGAAAGACCCACAGCTAGTATCATACTGAATGGTGAAAAACTAAAAGCCCTTCCTTAAGATCTGGAAAGTGATAAGGATGCCTGCTTTCACCACTGTTATTCAACATAATAATGAAAGTCGCAGCTATAATAATCAGATAAGAGAAGGAACTAAAGGGCATCGAATTCGAAAGAAAGAAAAGTAGCCTTGTTTGCAGATGATATAATCTTATATTTGGAAAAACATAAAGACACCACCAAAAAATCTATTAGGACTCATAAATTCACCAAAGTTGCAAGATACAAAATCAACATACAAATGGTAGCATTTTCACATTTCCATTCATCTTCTTTTATTATTATACTTTAAATTCTGAGATACATGTGCAGAACGTGCAGGTTTGTTACATAGGTATACACATGCCATGGTGGTTTGCTGCACCCATCAACCCGTGATCTACATTAGGTATTTCTCCTACTGCTATTGCTCCCCTAGCCCACCACTCCCTGACAGGCCCTGATGTGTGATGTTTCCCTTGCTGTGTCCATGTGTTCTCATTTTTCAACACCGACTTATGAGTGAGAACATGTGGCGTTTGGTTTTCTGTTCCTGTGTTAGTTTGCTGAGAATGATGGTTTCCAGTTTCATCCACGTCCCTGCAAATGACATGAACTCATCCTTTTTTATGGCTGCATAGTATTCCGTGTTGTATATGTGCCACATTTTATTTATCCAGTCTAACATTTATGGGCATTTGTGTTGGTCCCCAGTCTTTGCTATTGTGAATAGTGCTGCAATAAACATACGTGTGCATGTGTCTTTATAGTAGAATGATTTATCATCCTTTGGGTATATACCCAGTAATGGGGTTGCTGTGTCAAATGGTATTTCTGCTTCTAGATCCTTGAGGAATCATCACACTCTCTTCCACAATGGTTAAACTAATTTATGCTCCCACCAACAGCATAAAAGCATTCCTATTTCTCCACATCCTTTCCAGCATCTGTTGTTTCCTGACTTTTTAATGATCGCCATTCTAACTGGCATGAGATAGTATCTCATTGTGATTTTCATTTGCATTTCTCTAATGACCAGTGACAATGAGCTTTTTTACACATATTTGTTGGCCACATGAACAGACACTTCACATTTCCATTTTTCAACAGTTAACTACCTAAAAAAGATATCAAAAAATCCCATTTTAATACCTAAAAATAAAATAATATACCTAGAAATTAACTTAACCAAAGAAGTGAAAGATCTCTATAATGAAAAAATAAAACACTGATAAAATAAATCGAAGAGAAAACCAAAAAAGGAAAAATATTCCATGTTCATGGATTGAAATAATTAATATTGTTATAATGCCTATACTACCCAAAGCAACCTACAGATTCAATGAAATCCTTGTCAAAACACCAATGATATTCTTCATAGAAATAGATAAAATAATCCAGAAATATACATGGAAACACAAATGACCCAGGATAGCCAAAACTATCCTGAGCAAAAAGAGTAAAACTGGAAAAATCACATTACCTGTCTATATTTTACTACAGAATATATTCACCAAATCAGCTTAGTATTGGCATAAAAACACATAGACCAATGACGCACATTAGAGAGCCCATAAACAAATCCACACACCTACACTGAACTCGTTTTTGACAAAGGTGCCAAAAACTTACACTGTGGAAAAGACAGTCTCTTCAATAAATTGGCAAGACTGGATATCAGTATACAGAAGAATGAAACTAGACAACTTGTCTCACCATATACAAAAGTCAAATCAAAAATGAATCAAATATTTCAATCTAAGACCACAAGCTGTGAAACTACTACAAGAAAACATTGGGAAATCACTCCAGGGCATTGATCTGGGCAAAGATTCCTTGGGTAATATCCCACAAGCACAGGCAAACAATGCAAACATGGACAATTGGGATTATATCAAGTGAAAAAGCTTCTGCACAGAAAAGGAAATAATCAACAAAGTGAAGAGACAACATCAGAATGGGAAAAATATATTTTCAAACTATCTGACAAGGGATTAATAATCAGAATACATAAGGAATTCAAACAATTCTATAGGAAAAAATCTAATAATTCCATCAAAATGGACAGAAGATCAAAACAAACATTTCTCAAAAGAAGACATACAAATATCACATATATACATAAAAGTGCTCAACATCTTTGATCATCAGATAAATGCAAGTCAAAACTACAGTGAGATATTGTCTCACCCTAGTTAAAATGTATTTTTTTTCAAAAGAGACAATAACAAATGTTGATGAAGGTGTGAAGAAAAGGGAACCCTCATACGCTGTTGGGAATATAAATTATTACAACCGCTATGGAGAACAGATTGGAGGTTCCTCCAAAAAACTAAAAATGGAACTACCGTATGATACTTCAATTCCACTGCTAACTATATGCCCCGAAGAAAGGAAATCAATATATTAAAGAGGTCTCTGCACTCCCATATTTATTGCAGCACTATTCACAATAACTGACTTGCAAGCAACTTAAGTGTCCATCAGTGTAAGAATAGATAAAGAAAATATTGTGCATGCACGTGATGGAGTACTATTCAGCCATAAAAAAGAATGAGATCTTGTCATTTGCAACAATATGGATGGAACTGGAGGCCATTATGTTAAGTGAAATAAGCCAGGCACAGAAAGACAAACTCCACATGTCATCTCTTACTTATTTGTGGAAGCTAAAAATTAGAACAATTGAACTCATGGAAATAGCGAGTAGAATGATGGTTACTAGTGGCTGGGAAGGGTAGAGGGAGGTGAGGGTAGTAAGGATGGCTAATGGGTAGAAAAATAGAGTTAGATAGAATGAATAAGATCTAGTACTTGAACACATAACAGGGTGACTACAGTCAAAAATAATTTATGATACATGTTTAAATAACTAAAAGAGTATAATTGGATTGTTGGTAATATAAAGAAAAGATACATGTTTTAAGTGATGGATATCTCATTTACTCTGATGTAATTATTATGCATTGTATGCTTGTATCAAAATGTCTTATGTACCCCATAAATATTTATACCTACTACATACCCACAAAAATTAAAAATTAAAGTCCAAAGTAAGCAGAAGAAAATAAATACTAAAATTTAAAGCAGAAATCAATGAAAGTGAAAACAGGAAACCAATAGAGAAAATCAACAAAACCTAAAGCTGCTTCTTCGAAATGATCAATAAACCCCTACCCAGGCTAATCAAGAAAAATAAAAAGGGAGAAGACACAAATTACTAATATACGAACTGAGAGGCCATCATTACAGATCCCATGAACAATGAAAATACAATAAAAAACATTTATGCACACAAATGTGATAGCTTAGATGAAATGAAGGAGTTCCCTGAAAAGCAAAATGTATCTAATCTCATACAAGGGGAATAGATCATCTCAATAGTCCTATACTTATTAAGAAAATGAAAACAAATTTTTAAAAAAGCAAACATGTGCATTACCCCAAAAGTCTCTTTGTATTTGATTTTTATTTTTTTAGTTCTTTAGAAATGAAGTCTCGCTATGTTCCCCAGGCTTGTCTCAAACTCCTGACTTGAAGTGATCCCCCCACCTCTGCCTCCCACAGTGCTGAGATTTTATGTGTGATCCACTGTGTGCAGCCCCAAAAGGTTCTTTATGCACCTTTATAAGCCTTCCCTACTATCCCTTAACCTGCTGGCAATCACTCATCTGATTTTTTACATTATAGGTTACATGAAACATGTATTTCCCTAATGCCAATGGTGCTGAGCACATGTCCACATGCTTATGCAATCACATAGGCTTAATTTTCTAGAGGTTTATATAATAAATGGTGTCATATGATATCTAGCCTTCTGTAACTAGCTTCTTTCACTCAGCAAAAATCATTTTGAGATTCATCCCCATTGTTATGTGTATGGTTTAATAGTATATTATCTTGTTGCCAAGTAATTCATTATATAGCTATGCCATAATTTATTTTTTTCAACTGTCAATGGATATTTACACTGTTACCGAGGGTGGCTATTACAAATAAAGCTTCTGTGAACACTCATGCACAAGTCTTTTTATAGGTATATTAAATGGTAGAGATTAATGGATACATATTTAACTCTTTAAGGAATTACTAACCAGTACCAATTTGTATTCCTCCCACAGTGTTTAATAACTGGATTTGAGGCACATCACAAATATTTGGTATTATGAGTCTTTTAAATTTTTACCAATGTAACAGATGTATCATGATATTTCAATTGTTGCTTTAATTTAAGATTTCCTAATTCCTAAAAATATTGAGCACCTCTTCATATGCTTGCTTGAAATCTATAAAACTTATTTGTTAAAACATCTATTCAAATGTTTTGGCCATTATTTAATTGGGGCATTTATTTTCTATTTGAATCTTGAAATATACTTCATTTGTCAATGCTTAGCAAATATTTTCCTTCAGTGTGGGGCTTCTCTTAACATTGTCTTTGAAAAGCAGAGATTTTCATTTCAATGAAGTCAGATTATCAAATTATTATTTTATGAATCATGCTTTTGATGTTACAGCTGAGAAATCTTTTCTATCCCAAGTATACAACATCTTATCATTTGCTTTTTTCTAGTTGATTGCTTTAGATGTTATGTTTAAGTCTATGATTAATTTTTAGTTAATTATTATAAGTGATGTGAGTTCTGTAGGAAACTTCAATTTTCCTCACTTATAGCTAATTATTGCCACAACATTTGTGTAAGAACTGTACTTTATCCACTAATTGCCTTCTCGGTTTTGTAAAAAATCAATTATAAGTTTATGTGTTGGCCTATTTCTAGTATCGCAATTCTGCTTCATTGTTTTATCTTTCTGCTTTTGTGCCAGTGCCACACTTTTCTGAATGCTGTAGATTCCTAATAAACTTGAAATCACCTAGTATTAACTTTTCAACTTTGCCTTTGTTGTTCAAGCTGTTTTTGCTCTTCTAGTTTTTTTATGCATTCCAATATAAATTATAAAATCAACTTGTCAATTTTACCAAAATGCTAGATAAGGTTTTGATCAGGATTGCTTTGAATTCATATGCCAATATGACAAGAAATAACAACTTAACAATATTGTGTTTTCTGGTCCAGGAACAAGTTGTAGGTCATCTTTTTTTTTAGATTTTCCAAAAATTTATCTCAGATTTTTGTTTTGGTGTGCATGTAAATCTTTGGTCAGATTTATTTCTAAGTACTTCATATTTTCATACAGTTGTGATCAGAATTTCTCTTTGAATTTCAATTTTTGAAGTTTATAGTATACAGAATTATGATTGATTTGCATATTAATATTTTTATTCACTCTTGTTAATCATACTTATTAATTCTATTTTTAATAGAATCTATTATGTTTTCTACACAGATGATTATGTTTTACATTAAAAATACATTTTTAATTTTTTCTTTCAATTTGGATTATTTTCTTTTTGTTATTTTTTATTTGTTTGTTATTTTGCTTCAATGTTTGGCTACAGATCTTAGAGAAGAGCATTCATTCTTTCATCATCAAATATCAGCTAAAGTTTTTGTTGTTATTGTTGATGTCCCTGATGTAGTAAAGGAAGTTCTATTCTTAATTTGCTAAGAGTTTTGGTCAGAAATCGGTGTTGAATTTTGTCAAATGCTTTTTCTGTATTTACAGAGATAATTATATGGCTTTTCTTTTTTTTTTTAGTTTATCAATATAATGGATTATAATGATGCTTCCAAATATGAAAGCCCAACTTTCCTAATGTTAACACCATTTGATCATTATGAATTAGCTTATTTTATGAAGTTGGATTGGATTTGCCAGTCTTGTGTTTAGAACATTTGCATTTATAACATGAGGAATGTTCATCTGCAGTTTTCTTTTTTTGAAATGTCTTTTTCTAGTATTGATATCAGGGCAATTGTGGCCTTCATAGAATGAGTGAGGATATATTTCTTCCTCTTCAATTTTCTGGAAAATGTATTATTTCTTTCTTTACTGTGTGGTAGCATTTATCAATAAAGCCATTTTACAGATGTGATTTCTTCATTTATTTAAAAATGCAATTCAACTAATTTGTATATTAATATTTTATTATGCAATCTTGTTAATCATACTTATTAGTTCTATTTTATAGAAACTATTATGGTTTTTATACATAAATGAAAACATAGATGTCAAATGTAGAGCTATTCCAATTATCTAGTTCATTTTGAGGAACAGTCAGTATTGTGTTTCTATTGAATTTTTTTTTCCATTTCATATAATTCTGAATATATTCTCAAATTTCTTCCTAATATTTCCTATTACTCTTTTAGTAAAACTGTAGAATATTCAATGAGGCACCTTTCTTATTCCTGATATTTGTAACTTGTGCCTCTTTTTATCTGAACATCTGTTTTAGCATTTTTACTAATAAAACTTCTCATCAAATAAACAACTTTTGATATCTTTTTAACTTTTTTTGTTTTGTTTTGTACCATACTGATTTCTGCTTTGAATATTATTAGTTATAGTATGTTGCTTACTTGCTTTTTCTAGTATTTCTTGGGTGTAAAGTGAGGTCACTGATTTGTGACTTTTAAAAATGTTCTAATATTGGCAGTTTTTAGGGCTATAATTTTCTTCTAAGCCTTCTATTGGTAGCATCCCACAAATTTTGATATTTTGTACATTTCTTTTCGCTCAGTTTGAAATATTTGATAATTTCTTTTTGATTTCTTCTTTGAACCATGGCTTATTCAGAAATAGACAATTTTGTTTCCATCTATTTGGGGATTTTTTTCAGATATCTTTCTACTATTAACTATTTAAGTTAAATTTTATTGTGATCACAGATTACACTTTGCGTAACTTCATAATTTTTAAATTTTGTGAAGGTGAGATGCGGTGGCTCACACCAGTAATTTCAGCACTTTGGGAGGGCAAGACAGGTAGATCACCTGAGGTCAGGAGTTTGAGACCAGCCTGGCCAACATGGTGAAACCCTGTCTCTTCTAAAAATACAGAAAATTAGCCAGGCATGGTGGCCTGTGCCTGTAATCCCAGTTACTCGGGAGCCTGAGGCAGGAGAATAGCTGGAATCTATGAAGCAGAGGTGGCAGTGAGCCGAGATTGCGTCATTACACTCCAGCCTGGATGACAGAGTGAGAAAAAAAAAAAGTTATTTTGAGCCCCAGCAGATCAAAGGGAAGAAGGGAAGAGGTGAGTTGAGAATAAGAAGTTTCCAGGCTCTGCCTCTAGTGTAGTTATGCCAGGCTGATTGCATATAGTTACAGCTCTCTATATACAGCAGTTTGTCTGCAGGTTCTTTGAGGCCTATGAATAGCAAAGGCATCCCAGTTGTTTACCAGCTGTATCCCTACTGGTTTCCCTATACCATGCCTACACTCTTATACATAGTCTCTTATTAAACTCCTCTCATATTATCCAGTTCAAGTGCCATCAGCATTTGCTAGTACCCTGACTGATATACACCATCATGATAATGTAAACATTAATGCTGACTTAACCAAAAACTCTTATTATATTGGAAAATAAGGAGGAAAAATATGTGGGTGTATTTTTAAAGTTTTATTTCACTTTTAATTAACACATAATAAACATATATATATTTATGGAATACAGTTTGTTATTTCAATACATGTATACATTGTACAATGATCAAATCAGGACAATTAGCATATCTGTCACCTTAAAGATTTATTTTTTTGTGGTAAGAACATCAAAATACTCTCTTCTATTTATTTTGAAGTATAAAATACAATATTGCTTACTATAGCCACTGTGCAGTAGAACAGAGAACTATTCTTCCTAACTGGAATATTATACCCATTGATCAATCTCTACTCATAACCACTATTTCTACTCTGTACCTCTATGAGATAAGGTTTTTAGATTCCACAAATGAATAAGATCATGTGGGATTTGTCTTCCTGTGTCTGGCTTATTTCACTTAACATAATGTCCTTCAGGTTCATCCACGTTATCACAAATAACAGGATTTTATTATTTTTCTTGGCTAAATAGTATTCCATTATGTGTATATATCACATATTCTTTATGCATTTATCTATTTAGGGACATTTAATTTGATTGCATATATTAGCTACTGCAAATAGTGTTGTGATAAACATGAGAGTACAGATATCTCTCAACATACTGATTTCATTTTCTTTGGATGTATTCCCAGTAGTGAGATTATTGGATCATATGGTAGTTCTTTTTTTAATTCCTTTAGGATCTGTAAAATGTTTTTCATACTAGCTCTGCTAATTTACATTCCCAGAAACATTGTGTAAATGTTTTCATTTCTCCATATCCATGCTAGTATTTATTTTTTGTCTTTTTGATAATAGTCATTGTAATTGGAGTATCTCACTCCAATGTGGTATCTCACTGTGATTTTGATTTACATTTCCTTGATGATTAGTGATATTGAGCATTTATTCATGTACCTGTTAGCCATTTGTATATCTTTTTTTGAGGAATGCCTATTCAACTGCTGTTGGAAATAAGAGTTCGGAGTTGCAAAGAAAATGAGCACTCAAAGGATTTCTCAGCAAGGCAAATTTACTTCTGCAGAAGGGTGCTGCTTGCTCTTCTGGTTGCTGGGAGAGCACACTGAACAAAGGAGGGAAGGGGTTTTTATCCCTGAGGCAGTCAGCCCCTGCTACTGTGTCTGGTCCCCATTGGCTGGAGTTGCACCACACAATCTAAGCTGATCCCAATTGGCTACTTCAAGTAGAGCATTGGTGGGGGCTACAGCTGCAGAAAGGACAGTTTTGGAACTAAGGGCACCAAATAAGGAAAAGATGTGGGTTGTTACAGATTGGGAATGGATGTGGGTTACAGATTGGGAATGGATGTGGGTTACAGATTGGCAATGGCTGGAAGGTTGTTTACCATAACTAGGAGCAAGGAGGCAAGGAAGTTTGGCTTTGAAATTAGAGGACAAAGAACGAGGGAGTTGAACAAGTGGAAACTTTGAAGAAGAACTCACTGTATCCAACAGTGCTTTGCCCACTTTTTAGTCAGATTATTTATTTTCTTGCTATTGAGTTGTTTGAGTTCTTTACATTTTCCAAATGTTTCCCGCTACTCAGATGTATAGTTTGTAAAAACTTTCTCCCATTCTGTAGGTGGCCTCTTCATATGTTGATTGTCCCTTTTATTGTGCAGAAGCTTTTCAGTTTGATGTGATCCTATTTGTCTGTTTTTGCTTATGTCCTCCGTGCTTTTCAGTTTTTATTCAAAATAATGCTTTCCCAGACCAATCTAATGAAATATTTCTATGTTTTGTTCTAGTAGTTTTAGTTTGGGGTCTTACATTTAAGTCTTTAATTTGTTTTGAATTTATTTTTGTAAGTTATGAGAAACAGAGATCTAGTTTTATTCTCCCTGCATGTGAGGATCCAGTTTTCCCAGCAACATTTATTGAAAAAAAAAATTCTTTTCCCTAATCTGTGTTCTTGGGGTCTTTGTAAAGAATCATTTGGCTGTATAGATTTTTCTGTGTGTCTATGTCAATACTATGCTGTTTGGGTTACTGTAGCTTTATGGTATATTTTGAAGTCAGGTAGTTCAAGCTTTCATCTTTTTGCTCAAGATTACTTTTGCAGCTATTTGTGGTCTTTTGTAGTTCTGTACAAACTTCAGAGATTTTTTCTATTTTGGGGAAGAATATCATTGATGTTTTGACAAAAGTATATTGAACCTGTAGATCACTTTGAGTAATATGGGCATTTTAACAATATTAATTCTTTCAATCCCTGAACAGAGAATACCTATTTATTGTGTCCTCTTCAATTTCTTTCATTAATGCTTTATAGTTTTTACTATAGAGATCTTTTACCTCCTTGGTTAAATTTGTTCCTAGCTTTCTTTCTTTTTGTTGTTGTAAATGTTATTATTTTCTTGATTTTTCAGATAGTTCAGTAATGGCAATATAGAAACACTAGTTGTTTCGTATGTTGATTTTGTATCCTGCAACTTTATGGAATTCACTTATTAGTTCTAACAGGTTTTTTTTGATGAAGTCTTTAGGGTTTTCTATTTATAAGATCATGTCATCTGCAATCAGGTAAATTAGCTTTCTTCTTTTCAACTTGGATGTTTTTATTTCTTTCTTGCGTAATCTATCTGGCTAGAACATTCAGTATAATGTTGAAAGAAAATGGTGAAAATAGGTATTCTTGCTTGAGTCCAGATCTTAGAAGAAAAGCTTTCAATTATTTTATGGGACAGACTAAGATCAGACTATGATCTGTCTGATTAAACGGTTGCACTTGAAAATGTGTATTCTGCTGTTGTTGAATGGAGTTTTATAAATATCAATTAGTTCAAATTGATTAATAGTATTTTTCATTTCTATTATTTGCTTCTGATTTTTTATTTGTTTTGTGAATTTTTGAGAGGTTATTGATGTCTCTGACTACAGTTTTAGATCTTTTAATTTCTCTGCGAATTTCTAGCACTTTTTGTTCTATATATTTTGAAGCTTTCTGACTACACATATAAATGCTTAGGCTTTTTATATCCTGTGAAAAAAAATTACATTTTATCTTCATGATGTAAGCTTCTTTATACCTTGTAATATTTTTTTGCCTTGAAATCTACTTTGATATTAATATAGCTATCCTAACTTCCTCTCAACTGTATTAACATTGTATATATTTTTCCACCTTTCATAGAAACCTATTTTGTACACCATTCAACAAATCGTAATCACCTTGTTCTTCCTAGACCCTCAGCTCAATCCCCCCAACAGAGAGAGTACCCCAGGTTTTACCTACGTTCTCTGCACCACTGTTTCAAAATTTACTCAATACATTAAGCTAATAAATCCCAGGGCTGACATTATTTGTTTTCTATCACTCAAAGATCATTATCTTTTATGTCATAAAATCCAGTGTCTTGAAAATTTTTGTTTCATATTTTTTGGCTTTACTTTTTGCTTGTTGTAGTTGGAGTATAAATTGGTCCCTGTTACATCATTTTACCTGTAAATACAAAATCTCAGTTTGAAAAAAATTTACATTCACTTCTTTTGAATAAAATGAAACTTCTTCCCATGTGTGAGTCATTTTTACCTCTTTTGTTCGTTGTTAAGATTTTGTTCACATTTTTTTCTTCAATTTTCTATTAGATATTTTTATTTAACCTATATATTTTTTTGCATTCCTGATGAAATGTTTTTTCAACTTTTATTTTAGATTCAGGGGGTACATGTGCAGGTTTGTTACAGAGGTATATTGTGTGATGCTGAGGTTTAGTGTACAACTGAACCCATTACCCAGATAGTGATCATAGTACCCAATAGGTAGTTTTTCAGCTCTTATCCCCTTTTTCCTTGCCCAACTTGTATTCCTCATTGTCTGTTATTTCTATCTTTATGTCCATATGTACTCACTGTTTAGCTCCCACTTGTGAGAACATGTGGTATTAATGTTCTCCAGTTGCATCTATCTTGCTGCAGAGGACAGGATTTCGTTATTTTTCATGACTGCATAGTATTCCATTGTGTATCTGTACCACATTTTCATAATCCAATCCACCATTGATAGGCACCTGGGCTGATTCCATGTGTTTACTATTGCAAATAGTGCTGTAATGAACACGCAAGTGTATGTGTCTTTTGGTAGAACAATTTATTTTCATTTGGCTATATACTCCATAATAGGATTGCTGAGTCAAATGGTATTTTTAGTTCTTTATGAAAACTCCAAGGCCCCAGCAACACATCACTGTGTAAGGAAAAATAAAGTGCTTCTTAGAAAAAATAAAAGTAGGGGAGGGTACAGCACTTGTTCCAATATTGTTTTTGCATGCATTGTGAACGTCTCTCAGGTGAGATGTGTAGGAAGCTATAAAGCAAACTTTCTTAAGGGTCTCAGAGAGTAGAACAAACTCTTTTATGCTCTTTTCATTTCTCTAACCTAACATTTCTGCTCTTTGGGAATCCAAGCCCAGAGATTCAAAACACAGACATGACCATTTTCTTCTCTCTCTCTCTCTCCTCAATCTTCCCACATTAATTCATGCAAATAGACAACTTCAATTTTCTTTCCCCTCATCATATTCTTTCTCCACCATAGAGTGCCATGGCTTGCCAGTTAGCTCGACCTAGATGGAAGACATATTAATACTCTGAGAATAAATTCTAAGATTTGAACAAACAAATTTGGTTTTAAAAAGCAGGAGGGATTTAGACATCTTCTCTATTCTTAAGCCTCCACTCCAATTTTATTTCCTTCTTAAGAATGTCAAATACCATCCCTATTCTGCCCATGTAAGGAAAAGTATCCTTCTTCTACTTTGCAGCTGGGAATTCAATTTAAGAGGAAATTAAAATACATTTGGCTAATTGTTACAAAATATTATTTTGAATGAAATGTTTAATGGCCATCTGCAATTCTTCTTTGAGTTTCCTAATGGCATAGTTCCCTGGTTTTCTATTATTTTATGTTTTTACCAATGTTTTTACTCCTTTTCTGTGATATGTTTTGAAAATAATTTCCTCAGACTATCTAAATCAGTATTTACCTATTTAATTTTTACATAGCCAGTTTTCTCTATCTTTTCTTTTGTGCCTTCTTGCTTTTTAATTTTATTTAGGGTTTTCATCTCTAAGATTTAAAAGTTTCTTCCTAAAGTTCTGTTTTCTAGCATTTGGTTTATGCACTTTAATTTTTAAACAGACTTTATTTATTAGCACACTTGTAGATCACAGCAGAATTGGGCAGAAAGAACAGAGAGTTACCCTATGCTCCCCTTCCCCCACATAAGCATTCAATTTAATTTTTATATTTAGGCAAGTAATCAGTCAAGTTATCCGGGTATATTAAATTAGGTATGGGATTTTCAATAATGCAGACAGGTCACATTAATTTGATGTGACTAAACACATATATCTGCTATAAATTGTCCATTTATATAGCCAAAAGTACAGGACATAATGAAAATTGGCTCCACAGAGGAGAAGCTGATATAAGATATCTTAAAACAGCTTTGCTTCTATTCCTTGGTTTCCTAAGGAGCAATGTGTTTAGTCCTTCTTAACATTCCATATGCAGGATACTGTCAGATAAGAGAAAGAGCAAATTCTTGCAAGTTATCTATTCATTCTCAGGTTTAAGTTACCGTTTCAAAGATATTGTATTAACACTTTATGCACCTCTATAAGAAAGTGTTTAAAGAACACTGGGCTTTTCTATTTATAAGCCAAACTCAGCACTCATACTGTCTTTTGGGGGCAAAAGCAAAATCTATTCCCAAGTCTTCCTGAGCATTACTTTGCCTTCTGCTTTTTAGTGTCCAAGGTCAATCACCCCAGTTAATCCCAGCATGGTTTCAAGTAATGAGATTGGAACAACAACGAAGATTAAAAAATACTTGTTTCCCCTTACTGTTGATGCGTGGTATTGTATCAATTCACTGCAATTCCTTTTGTAGTCAGACACAAAACTACTGGTTAACATTGGTTAATATGACATTTCTTTAACAAACTTTGTATCCTTAAAACATTTAAGCATTTAACAGCTTGTAGTCTTTTAAAGAAAATTGGTTCCAATTAATTGTACTCTTTTTCTATTTGAATCTCACATTGTCAAAAGTGGTTAATGGGAGACAATTCTGACTCCTTTGTCACTAACTGACATCTTTGGACTTTCTTTTCTTTCTTGAAGCAAAAGTTCTCAGGCACATCTTGAGTCCTCATATTAACGCATGAAATCACTATGTCTCCAAGGACTCCGAGAACCTTTCCACAGAGAAAGATACCAGAGATCAAAACTTGGTAATAATTTCTGGTGTTTCTTAATGCATTCAGGAGGCGTAGCACAGTAATACTAGGGTTGCTAGAGCCTTCTGTAATAGGAACAAAATGTATCATTTCTTAAATCTGCAGTTTGAAAAGAATTTTTCTTGCTTTAATAAAGCTCCCCTTGAGAGGCAGCATAGTGTAAAGGACACAGAGACTGAAACCAGACTGCTGTGTTTACCTCTTGACTTCACAGATGATGAGCAGAGAGACACTGGACAAGTTACCTACTTTCTCTATGTATCATTTCCACTGTCTTCTTTGTGCCTTAATGCCCTCATATATAAATTAGGGATAATAATGGTACCTGTCTAATAAGGTTGTCTTAGGAATTAACTCCCTAAATATTTGGGAATCACTTTAAAAATTGTCTGGCACACAGAGAAGACCCAATTACTGCTAAAGCTAATTTTTTAAAAAGCTTTTTAATGTAATTTTCTTCCTTTTCCGCCAAATTTTGTGCATCTCTGTATACATCGTAACAGAAAACATATTTCTAAATTAGAGTGTTGCTACAAAACACACAAATCTTTATTTTTGTCTTTTTAATCTTTAGCTCAGATGCCAAGTAGTACAGTTTTAGATCACGTCTTGTGCTGACTTCACTTAAACAGCAACAATTGAAAAGAAAAGAAAAAAAAAACCATTCTCTAAAGTAGCTAGGATACAGAGTGTATGTGATATAAAACCTGCACCCAATTTGTCTATGGATGCAATGGCAGAGACAAAAGGGACAATAACATGCTTCTAAAGTTTTGTGTATAACTGCTTTAAAAGCTTCAATTTCTTAGGTCCCATTTTTTATCTTTTATCATGGGAAGCTTTAGAGTTGAATTTAAATTACTTAAATGTCTTTAGATACATAACAAATATTTTCCTTTTGTTCCTGGCCCTCTCTGATTAGTCTATCAAAACTTTTGATTCCACTGAGGGAAGTCATTGGCTTGATGCAGACAAACATAATAAATGTGGATCTTACTAATACCCTTCAGGCTTCATTCACAAAACAGTGCTAAATACAATTATACTTTGGAGAATTTTTTTGTTATTATAATATTTTGGATATTTTTCATGGATATATTTTACATTTGTAATATGGAAGCTTCATAGAAATAGTTTCAAGAGTTAAATTTCTCAAAGTATAAAGTTTCTAAACTTAAAATTTTTGCAATTTGCCATATGGTTATTAGATGATCAGATTTTTTTAGGGAAATAATTATGCATTTATTTACTGAATTATCACAGGAGGTATATTGTCTGCCAAGAACTCATGTTTAGTTGGCTCAAAGAATGACATAAACCAGCCTTTAGAATTCTGATTTTCATTCTTATTCTCTCTCTCTCTCCCCCCACCTTTCCTCCCTCTCTCTCTTTTTCCTCTATTCCGCCTGTCTTTTTTCTCTCTCCTTCTTCTTTCCCTCTTTCTTATTTTTCCTTCCCTATTAGATTAGATGCTATGATAATAGACACTATGTATACTGTAACGTTTTACAGGTAAAACAAGCAGATTTATCTTTCTTATTGCCTGGCTGTATAAACAATATCTTTAGTTCTAGTTATTCCCTAAACTAGGAAGCAGGCCTTCACCAGACACCAAATCTGCAGGCACCTTAATATTGAATTTTCTAGCCTCCAGAACTGTGAGAAATAAACGTTTCTTGTTTAAAGCATCGAAGTATTTTGTTATAGCTGCCCAAAGCAAGACAGCTACCATATGCCCTCACCAAATTTTCCCTATTTATTAACATCTAACATTAGCATGTTAAATTTGCTACAATTATTAGAGCAATGTGTAGATTTATTGTTATAACTGATGTGCAGATTTTATTTAGATATCCTTATTTTTCTTTTAAATCTACACTCCTTTTTTTATTTTAGAATCTCGTTCAGGATATTACTTTACATTTAGGGCAGGTTTCTTAGCAATGAATTCCTTCACTTTAATGTTTTTCTTAAAAATTTATTGCTCTTCATTCAAGTTTGAAGATTAATTCACTGGGTAAAGATTAATTTTGTGGTTTTCTTCTTTCCACACTTTAAATACTTAAGTTCATTTTTTTTTTTTCTGGCATGGTTTCTGATGAGAGTCCACTATAATATCATTTCTCTATAGAAAATATGGAGTTTTTTATCTATTTTATTTCTGGATTTTCTCTATGTCTTTGTAGTTTCTTTTTGAAGTTTGCGTTAGCAGCAGCGAATTTGTAGGGTTCTGCAGCAACACAATTCTTGCCTCCTCAGAGGAAAAAACTATTCCTAGGAGCATAAGGCAGAGTGAGAGACACAGGTTTTTGAGCAGGAGTGAGAGTTTATTAAAAAATTTTAGAGCAGGAACGAAAGGAAGTAAAGTGCACTTGGAAGAGGGCCAAGTGAGCAACTTGAGAAAACCAAGTGTGCTGTTCAGCCTTTGACTTGGCGGTTTTTATACATTGCAATGGTTCTAGGGTTTGTGTCTCTCTTCCCTTTATTTTCTCTTGGGATGGGCTGTTCGTATGCACAGTGGCCTGCCAGCACTTAGAAGGGGCCACCTGCACAATATGTTTACTGAAGTTTCGTGTTTGTTCATTTGAGGTGTTTTTCTCTTATCAGTTGAACGTTCTTAAAAGAAGGTTATATACCAGGTAAACTGCCATTTTGCCTCTTAGTTCACATGTTTGAGCCCTTGCCAAACTCCTGAGATCTTATCAGGAAAGTGAGCGATGACCAGCTTTAAGTGTTTTCTGTCTATTGGGAGACTGCATTTCCATGGTGCTGCCTGTGACCAATTATTATTTTAAAGAGAAAGTTTAACAATTGCCTGAACATCACCTGACGGTCACCTGACATACCTGGGGGGGACCTCTCCTGCTCTGCTCATGTCTGGCTAGGTACCTACTCTAACATTTGAATATGATATGCCATAATGTAGTTTGTTTTTTTTTTCTGGTCCTTATACTCTCTGGTGTTCTTTGATTTTCTGGGATCAGTATTTTTGCACCTGTAATTAGTTAGGGATTACTTTTGCATTGTTCTCAGCCATTATTACTTCAAGTATGTATTCTGTTCTTTCTCCTTTATTCCTATTATGCACATGTTACACTTTTTGTGATTGCCTCACTATTCTTGACTATTCTGCGTTTTTGTCTTTTTCCTTTCTTTAGCCTCTTTGCAATATTCAGTTTGGGACATTCTTATTGACCTATATTCAAGCTGATTCATCCTTTCCTAAACCATGTCCAGTCCACTGATGAATCTACCATAAGGACTCTTCATTCCTGTTATGGTGTTTTTGATTTATGGCACTGCCTTATGATTCTTAGTTTCTCTCTCTCTGCTTGCATTACCCATCTGTTCTTGCATGTTGCCTACTTTTTCCTTTAGAACCCTTCACATATAAATCATTATTTTAAACTCCCCACCTAATATTTTCAATGTCTTTGTCATATCTGAGTATAATTCTGATACTTGTTTTTCTTCTTTAGACTGTGTTTTCTCTTGCCTTTTAGAATGCCTTCTAACTTTTTGTTGCAAGCCAAGCATGTGTTGGGTAATAGGGCCTGAAGTAAGTAAACCTTTTGTGTGAAGATTTATGATGATGTTGAGACGTGAAGCTGGCTGGGCTTCTGGGTCGGGTGGGGACTTGGAGAACTTTTCTGTCTAGCTAAAGGATTGTAGATGCACCAATCAGCACTCTGTGTCTAGCTAAAGGTTTGTAAACGCACCAATCAGCACTCTGCGTCTAGCTAATCAGGTGGGGCTTGGAGAACTTTTGTGTCTAGCTAAAGGATTGTAAATGCACCAATCAGCACTCTGTGTCTAGCTAAGGGATTGTAAATGCACCAATAAGCATTCTGTAAAATGGACCAATCAGCACTCTGTAAAATGGACCAATCAGCACTCTGTAAAATGGACCAATCAGCAGGATGTGGGTGGGGCCAGATAAGCAAATAAAAGCAGGCCACCCAAGCCAGCAGTGGCATCCTGCTCAGGTCCCCTTGCATCCTGTGGAAGCTTTGTTCTTTCCCTGTTTGCAATAAATCTTGTTGCTGCTTACTCTGTGTATGCAGTACCTTTATGAGCTGTAACACTCACCACGAAGGTCTGCAGCTTCATTCCTGAAGCCAGCGAGACCACGAACTCACCAGCAAGAAGGAACAACTCCGGACGTGCCACCCTTAAGAGCTGTAACACTCACTGCGAAGGTCTGCGGCTTCACTCCTGAAGTCAGCAAGACCACGAACCCACCAGAAGGAAGAAACTCAGGACACATCTGAACATCAGAAGGAACAAACTCTGGACACACTATATTTAAGAACTGTAACACTCACGGGGAGGGTGTGCGGCTTCATTCTTGAAGTCAGCAAGACCAAGAACCCACCAATTCTGGACACAATGTGAGTAGGGGTTTGTCTGTGTTTATTGTTTACTATACTTGTAAGCATCAGTGAATTCAAATTCCTCTTACGTACTTATTTTGCCTCCCCACTTGACTTTAGAATCCCATAAATACTTCTCACAAAATCTGCATGTTTCCAATCTTCCAGCAGTAATGCACTGTTACTTTAGTGGAGCCCTGTTTTATTAGTGGTAAATTGGGAGGGAAGAAATATATTTTTCCACCATATTATTACTTCTCAATCTTTAGTGAGCCTATGTCTTTGGAACTTCAAAATCTGGTGTTCTCTGATGGTACAGCTTTCCCCTCCTCTCTTAGATAAAACAGAAGGCTAGGAGGGGATGAAGCTGAGAAGAGGCTCTGGTGAGGTCTCTCTCCATGAAAAATGGCCTTTCTTTTGGAAAATGTTCTGCAAGTTTTTTGGAATGATTATCCTTCCCCTTCTACTGCCAGAGACAAAGAGGGATCATTTTTGGATCTTTATAAGGTGAATCTGGTAGAGGTTTTGGATGTTAAGTCTGCAAAAGTATTGGGCTATACCAAGACTGTTGCCTTCGGTAGTTTTGCGCTCATGCTAGGCTACTTGAAACTTCCAGCAATTCATCCAATTATGACTTACGTGTTTCTTCCGCATTATGCTTCTGCTGCTTTGCTCCAAATAAACAGATCTCTACCGGAACTGTGTAAGAATTTCCGTATCTTTTCAGATTCTGGGTGCCAGTTTGCCCTGCAAGCTCGCTTCTCTAATAGATCCAAAAAAGTCAATGATTTTCAGGGTTCAAGTTTTTTTGTTGTTTATTTATTTTAAGGTCAAAAATGTTGTCTTCCATGCTCATTACATGTCACAGTTAAAATGGAAATTAATTTGTTATACAATTGATAGAAACAAAAGCAATTACTCTGCTCAAAGCTAAGAAGTATTTTACGGATTCATTCCTACTGACTAATTTACAGATTTTTTTGGTATATAGTGTGTTCAAAATGTCAGGCTGCACATTACAGATATAAAAGTGCAAAAATCTCCATCCCATATTTTACAAAAATTTTATTGTGTATTTGATAAAGTAAAATTTATTGACAAATAACTAAATGGGATATGCTATTTGTGATATGTATGTGTGTGCATACTTTATATGTATATAAAATACTTGTTTGCATATATATATGAGTGTGTGTATAAAACCCCCACTCTCCCTGGAATTTGATAAGAAATATCACAGAGCACAGAGATACTTTGAAATGTTAATTTCCTACTCTGGATGTACAATCTGACATTGAGAGAAAAACAAATGAATATCACTGGAAATATTAATAATTATCTTCCTTTGTTCTTTTGAAACTTGATTAGTTTAAGTAATGGGGAAGCTAATTAGAAAATGAATAAAAATATAAAGAATGATCAAATAAGCAGTGTGAAAGTTAAATTGATTGTTTTTACATTAATTGAAATAACCTACATTATTGAAGAATTACACATGCATCAATCCCCTGCTTCTGTGCTGTGTTTTGCAAAACCATGTAAATTATATACTTTGTCCTTTTTTTTTACACACTGTCAAATCTAGGTAAAATTTACACTCAATATTTGTAAAGTGTTAATTGATACCTTGCAACAGTGTGAATGACCTCCTATTGTTTCTTGCACTTTACCAAATCGAATAATAATCCTGAGCCTCTTAAATGAAAGAAAGTTCTTCAAAGATTTATAAGCTCATGACCTGCTATTGTTCTTTTCAAGCTACTGTGACCTTCTTGGCTCATCATTCATTTAATAAAATGAATTCTCTTTTATGTAGTGCAAAGTCTCTGTTTAGAAAATCAGTGACCTTTTCTCTCGTAATAAAAGTGTTTTTACAAGTCTAGCCCTCTTTAAAATCGTTTGAGTTTATTTTTTGCATCTTTTCTAAACTGTAGAAGAATGAGCATCATCAACGACTAGTGCTCTCCCTGGCTTGAAGTTGTGCCAAGTTGTATAAAAGCTCAAGATATAGTTGCATTTAGTTTTGTGGGTTGCATTAAATAAAATGTCATTCACCATTCATAAATGCATACTTCATATTGCAGGAGGTTTTACATTGAGTCTCTCAAAGACTATTGATAATTTCTAAATATGTTATACAAACTTGTGATATAAATAATCTATAGTATTACTTCTGAGTGTGTATGACTCCTTATTTTGTTTATAACATCTGATAACAATATTCCTAATGTTTTATAATGATTTTATCTTCTAGGCCAGAATTTTTACCAATATTATGTGTGTTTTAGATAGGAAAAGTGATGGTAATCTACAGTGTTCTTTACATCCCCACTGGCAATATTTATTTCAGGTCCTAGTTGCATAAAACGAAAGCTATCTTGAAATGTACTCCTTTCAATTGTAGACATTATGGTTTGCAATCCCCTTGCCCATTTTGACTGATATGTATTATAGGCCTGCCTTGAAAATTACATGCTGGGTAGCCATCTTCCAAAATGTTTATGAATATGTAGAAATATAATAAATTTAGTGCATTAAGCTTTCACATAATACCTAAGGATTTACTTAATAATTATTAATAAATTTAGTCACATGTAAAGAAAGAAATAACATCAAGGACATTCTAAAAGGCATTAAAATTTACTCTTGGAATGCATTATATCATTTTGTTCTTAGTAAAGTTAACTTTCCAACCTTTTTATTTCAGATTCCCCAAGTAAACCTGAGAGGTGACAGCGTGCCTGCAGCCCTCGCAGCCCTCTCTCGCTCTCGGCGCCTCCTCGGCCTCGGCACCCAATCTGGCAGTGCTTGAGGGGCCTTTCAGCCTGCGGCTGCACTGTGGGAGCCCCTCTCTGTGCTGGCCGAGGCCGGAGCTGGCTCCCTCAGCTTGTGGGGAGGTGTGGAGGGAGAGGCGCGGGCAGGAACTGGGGCTGTGTGCGGTGCTCGCGTGCCAGTGCGAGTTCCGGGTGGATGTGGGCTCGGCGGGCCGTACTCAGAGCTGCTGGCCAGTGCTGCTAGCCCCGGGCAGTGAGGGGCTTAGCACCCGGGCCAACAGCTGTGGAGGGTGCGCCAAGTCTCCCAGCAGTGCCAGCCCGCAGGTGCTGCACTGGAATTCTTGGTGGGCCTCAGCTGCCTCCCCACGGGGCAGGGCTTGGGACCTGCAGCCCACCGTGGCTCCCCCACAAGGTGGGCTCCTGCACGGTGGCCCGAGCTTCACCGACAAGCGCCGCCCCCTGCTCTGCAGCACCTGGTCCCATCGACTGCCGAAGGGCCGAGTGCGGGTGCACAGCAAGGGACTGGCGGGTAGCTTCACCTGTGGCCCTGGTGCAGGATCCACTAGGTGAAGCCAGCTGGGCTCCTGAGTCTGGTGGGGACTTGGAGAACTTTTATGTCTAGCTAGAGGATTGTAAATACACCAATCAGTGCTCTGTGTCTAGCTCAGAGTTTGTGAATGCACCAGTCAGCACTCTGTATCTAGCTAATCTGGTGGGGACTTGGAGAACATTTATGTCTAGCTAAGGGATTGTAAATGCATCAATCAGCACTCTGTGTCTAGCTCAAGGTTTGTAAATGTACCAATCAGCATTCTGTATCTAGCTAATCTGGTGGGGACTTCAAGAACCTTTATGTCTAGCTAAGGATTGTAAATGCACCAATCAGCACTCTGTGTCTAGCTCAAGGTTTGTGAACACACCAATCAGTGCCCTGTGTCTAGCTCAAGGTTTGTGAATGCACCAATCAGTGCTCTGTGTCTAGCTAATCTAGTGGGGACTTGGAGAACTTTTGTGTCTAGCTCAGGGATTGTAAAAACACCAATCAGCCCCCTGTCAAAATGGGCCAGTCAGCTCTCTGTAAAACAGACCAATCAGCTCAGCAGGATGTTGGTGGGGCCAGATAAGGGAATAAAAGCAGGCTGCCCCAGCCAGCAGTGGCAACCCACTGGGGTCGCCTTTCCACACTGTGGAAGCTTTGCTCTTTCACTCTTTGCAATAAATCTTGCTGCTGCTCACTCTTTGGGTCTGCACTGCTTTTATGAGCTGTAACACTCACCGCGAAGGTCTGCAGCTTCTCTCCTGAGGCCAGTGAGATCACGAACCCACCAGAAGGAGGAAAGTCCAAACACATCTGAGTATCAGAACGAACAACTCCAGACGTGCTGCCTTAAGAGCTGTAACACTCACCGCGAGGATCCACGGCTTCATTCTTGAAGTCAGTGAGACCAAGAACCCACCAATTCCAGACACAAACCTACACTTGTGCAGTAATGAGTATGTCCAAGTTATACTTATTTCTCAATGGAGACTTAACTGGAATTAAAACTTTGCCTAGGCAACATATTAAACAAAAAATATGCATGTGGAAAACTGTGCAGTAATCATAAATTTGTCTTCTCAAAAAATGCTTTGTTAGCAATAGCAGTAACACCATTCCTGTTCCATGCAGCAACTTCTCAAAACACATTGATACTATCATTGGCCCCATTTTATAGAGGACAAAATGAGGTTCAGGGAGCTTTCTATGACCTCAATTGTCTCAAATGGGGTATGTACAGAACAAGATTTTAAACTAACTTACTCTCACTTGAGAAGCTGAAAGTCATACTCCCTATCTAATTGGTAATAAATGCAGTATGTAAAATATTCTGCTAAAAAAACATTTTTATTATTTCTCATAACTTTTGGAACTTAAAACCAATGGGAAATTTTTTCCAGTTGTAGAACAAGAAAACCAAAGTTCAGAAAGGTTAAATAAATGTTCCAAATACTCCCCACTGGTGAACAGAATATTAAGAATTTGAATCTGGATTTTACTCCATAGTCTGTGTTCTTAACCCCTGTAGTGACTGTCTTTATAAAAGTTGTCCTGTACTCCTCAAAAACAGCTCTGTATTAAAGTCATTTTAGCCTTTCAAATAGAATAGTATCTGCTTAACAGCAGCTCAGTGGCCCAATTACATCTTTTCATTTTTCAGCTATATGTTGAAGTGAACAGTGTTTAAAAATATGTATTTAATTACATATTTTTATAAATTTTTGTTTAGTATTTTCATTTTATTCTCATTAATATAATTAAAGGCTGTGATAATACATGTATTAGTAGTACTAATAGTATATGAATTATTATTTCTGTAATTTTAGTAGAGTTATTCTATCAGGATTTTAATTTGATAATTGTCAAATAATATACAGTAGAAAAAAATACATGAATAAGTTTGAACAAATTTATACATTCAAAATGCTGTTGTAAGCATTAATATCCTTGTGAACGCTAAACTGTCATTTTTTTGTCCTCTACTACCATTTCTGGAATAAATGTTAGTAGTTGAAATAATAAGTGGAGTTTATAGATTTAAATATGATGGAGTGGCACAAGCTAAGAACAGGCTTGTCATATTAGAGTGCAATATTTTGGAATGTTATTGATTATAGTTTTCAGAGAAAGAACACTTTATGCATCATTTATTATTACTAGCAACAATTTTTATTACCTGTATATCAAATAAATGGAAAGCTTCATCTAACTGAGAAGTAGTTGACATGAGTATCTACCACAATCAGAATAGATTCTATCACAACTTACAGTAAAGAGAGCCTACGATGTGAGAATTAGGGAGAGTATTAAAGCAAAGAATGTGCTGGCAATAGTATTGCAAGATGGAATTTATATTCCATATTTACTCCATGAAGCTATTGATTATTTGATAGATATTCTTTCTAACGCAGTGCTGGAATCCAACTTGTCTTCTTTCCATTGCTTTTAAACTAGGTTTATCTCAGGAGACAAGATATTTTCTAGGAAAATCAATGAAAGTAAAACTGAATACTGAAACTTTTACCACCATATTGGCTTCCCTTGTGCTTGGCCACTGATATACTTCCTCAGATTACAGTATTAAGAATGCAAGCTTTAAAGGCTGAGTAGTTTCCTGTAATACTCCAACAAGGTAGAAAGTAGAAAACGTTCCAAATCATATTTGGAGTGTTACAGGAGGGTAGAATTGCAGTTCTTTTTACCTCAACACCCACATGCTCGAAGAAAATCTGTTAGAGTTGTGTCAGCCTTTATGAAAGTGTGATTCTCACCAGCTTTTTTATGTGGATATTAAAACTATAGAATCCTAGGCCAAACCATATATCTACAGAATCAAAAAACTTGCTTTCAGACCTCAGAATGTGTATTTTAACCAGGACTTTAGAGAATGCCCATGTTAATTTAGGTTTGACAACTAGGGCCACAATGGCTTATAAATGAGACAAATATGGATTAGAGTGAAAGTTCTGTCAAATGACCTTTCTAAAGCCTTAGTCTCCATTATAACATCAAGAAAATAATGATTTTTATTCCATATTATTCTTCTAAAGATATAATGAAATAATATGTAAGAAGCATATGTAGTCCCGAGTAGGGCATGTATATAATCAATAAAGTTAGATAGTGTTATTATTATTAGTTATGTCTGTGAGAAAACTACAAAAAATGTTATTCATTCTTGATCTAGATGAAAGGTTGGGACTGTGTTTATGACTTGGGGTTGTGTCACAGGTATCACAAGGGCCTTCATCATAGACATTTCTTAATAAATAATTGCACTGGTCGTTTTTTGACTCACTTTTCCTCTTCCTTCACATTTTGCCAATTAAACCTCCAAAAAAAATCCAATCTATTCATGTCTATCCATTACTACTGCCCTAATATCCCAGTCCAAACCAACTCACCTCTTACTTAAAATGAAGCAATAGCCTCCTAAAAAAAAAACACTTGTAATCTTTAAAACAACAAAAAAAAAAACTGATTGAGATAGTCCCCTGCCTCCATAAAACTAATTTTTAAAACTGGCATTATTTCTTTTTAAAGCCCTTTAACAATGCATTTTAAAAAATAAAAATAAACTAAAAGTTCTTGCAAGTTCTGTTCCTTGCCTACTCTTTTAGCCCCACCTTAAAAAATGTGCCTCCTTCATTTCTGTTTCCCAGACACTATATTTCTTTTTTGAAATAGTCTCAGGTATCTCTTCTCGCAGGAATGTGTACATATCACTTTTTGGTTATGGTTTTAACCTATAACTCCCTCAGGCTTCCTGACTGCTTCTGACTAAATTAGCAGTCTTTTACCCAAGTCATTCGCTTAAGGAATTCTGTCTTAATTCCAGTCCAAATTAAATTATCCCTCCATTTTTCTCTACTTGGAATCTAGATGTTGCTGTTTTTTCCTCCTAACCCATAACTCTTTTAAAATGAAAATATTTATTTTGTATATTTTTGCTAGTTTGTTTAATGCCTGTATCCACCATGACACTGTAATCTCCATGAAGACATACGGTGTCTTTGTTTTATTTTTTACTATAGTCCCCAGGGCAAGCATACCCATGAAAACATTGGCATGCATTACATGATTCTTGTCTGAATAAATGATTGGACAGTTCAGATACTTAAGTACATGTTCTATGTTCAACAACTTGGTACTTTTATTCAAGGTTGTGTATGTGTGTGTGTATATGTATACATATACACACACACATATATATAACACATAAACATTATAACACACATATATAACACACACATATATATCATATATATATAAAACATATATATATATATATATGTTATTGGGAAGAAGATGTAGCACAGTATCATTCCTATTATATTAATAAAAGCAAGAAAACCTGCAGAATGTTCAGATCCTCAGCTTTTAGGCTCTCCTTTGGGCAACACTCTTTTAGATGTTGACAGCATAAAATTGGTTCAGCACTCAAGTCTTCATTCTGCAGATTATTTCTGTGGATAAATCAGCAGGCCTGAATAATTCTTTCCTTTAGCAAGTGCTGTGGGACAAGTAATCCAATTACTCCAGAGACTTTTGTGACATTAAGTGAAGCAATTCAAGAAATCACTAACAATATCCACTTTTAAGATCTAAAAGTATCTTACATTTAAACCTTGAATGTTTTGCTTCTTACTTTCCTTCTCTCTTTTTTTTTTCTTTCATTTCTTGGAATTTAAGTACAGATGTTTTTAAAATAGGGTAAAATTATTAGTGCTTCTATGTGATTGTGTCCATGAAGCTGTGATAAAATGCAGAAGCTCTATAATTTCTATGAAGTAAAAGTTAGCTTTGGATGTCTGTCTTCTAAGATAGCTAAGCAGAGTACATGCCAGATATTTTGCACACATTATTTCATTCAACCATTAAATATTCCCAAAATAGAATATTATTATTCTCTTACTCTAATATATTATTATTCACATCTTGCAGATGACAAAACTAAGACAAGTGTTAATTGGCATGTACAACAAACTCAGCATATTTAATTCACTCCTACATTTTTCTATTTAACTCAGGAAAAATTCCTAAATTATGTAAGTAAATAAAACAAAAGTTTTGTCTCATTAAATAGAATACTAAAAACATAAATAATAAGTCATTATATGTACAATAAGAAGTATTAAAGCTTATAAAAATAAATATAAATAAGTGGATGGTTGAAGGAGGTGGAGGAAATGAGCTATTTCACATACTGCATTCAAAAACAGCATCTCTAAATATTTTGTATTCAAACAGAGATTTCAATGTAAAAAAGAGAGTGAACTATCAAATTATTCAGGTTACTAACTTCCCAGGAAGAGGAATAGCAAGGGTGAAGGCACTAGGCAAGAATAAGTGTGGCAATTTAGAACAGCAAGGTGGTCTGTAATTGAACACAGTTAATAAAGCACAGAATGGTAGCAGCTGAGGATGGAGAAATATTTCCTTAAAATTGGGGTCCAAAGAGGCCATAGAAATGACGTTAAATATTCTTCTAAGCTTTAGAAATGTCACTGGAGGGAGGACTTTGAGGCACAAAGAGGCATATTTTAAAAAATACTTACTATTTTGAGGTATAATTGACATAAAATTGACTTCACTAAAGTGTACAATTCAAGGATTTTTAGCATATGCAGAATTGTGCAACCATGACTAGTATCTAATTTTGTAATAGTCTCATCATCTATAAGATAAATCCAGTATCTATTCCTCACCATCTCCCTTCTTCCATGCCCTGGTAACAATTTAATAAATTGCATCGAACAATCTTCTGGTGCAACTGACATGTTTGTGTAATTAATTATTTAATGCCTACCTCCCCCATTGGGCTATAAGAGTACTTAGGTGAAAGAACAATGCATGGTTTTAATTGTCATTCAACAAATATTAGTGGTATAACTGAATGGATTATATAAAAAAAAACTTCTTAAAATTTTACAATTAGATTTTACTTGAAATAAACCCCTGTTTGTCTCATTTACCTCCCAGTAATTTATGGAGTATTTGTATAATCTATTTTGTAGATTCTTTTAAAACCACATTGCTAGGTATTGTTATATATTCCTTATGCAGTATATTCATATCTCAACTAAACTGCAATTTTAATTCCCACTTAAGTTTTCTCTTTTATCTGATAATTTTGTTTTAGCTGTAACATTCATTAGGAGTATTCTAAAAATATCTTTTTACATTTTTTCATAAAATATCCATGTTGCTTTCATCATGGCATGAATCAAGCCCACTAATGAATATAACATCACTCATTAAACATATCACTTTTAGATATATTCATTATTTTTTGTTTTCTACAATGAGAATTGAATTTGGATTTCTCCTAAGGGTCATTTATCAAAGCAAAAACTAATATCATTGTAATGTTTTTTATTTTCTTGTGTATTTATTTTATTTATTTTTTCTTTTTTGAGACAGAATCTCACTCCATTATCCAGGCAGAGTGCAGTGGCATGATTACAGCTCACTGCCTGGGCCTCCCAGGCTCAAGTGATCCTCCTACCTAAGCTTCCAAAGTTGCTGAAACTACAGGCACATGCCATCATTCCTGGCTAATTTTTAAAATTTATTGTAAAGATAGAATCTCACTATGTTGCTCAAGCTGGTCTCAGACTACTGGGCTCAAGCAATCCTCGTGCCTTGGACTTTCAAAGTGCTAAGATTATAGGCATGAGCCACTGCATTTGGACTGTTTACTTTTAAATTATTTTACCTTCATTAATGAATTGAAAAATAAAATATTGGAATGAGATGAAGAAAATGGAAATGGGGTATGGCCACTCTCTAACTCAATGATATGCTACTGTACACTATTTTACAGCAGACATAGTTAATATGATCCTCAGTAAAGTGACACATTATTTTATATCCTGGAACTTGAAATCTGCTTGCAGATAATTAAAGCCATGAATATCACATGAATAAATGCCATGCAGATGTGGAAATCTCAAAAGTCTACAAAAGCAGTGGCAGATGTTTGGATTAATATGAAGGGTTGGCATATATGATAGACTGGAGACACCACAGGCCACCACAAAATAGAAGTTACTTTTTCCATGCAAAAATTCAAACCCAACATAGCAGATGGAATTTTTTAAGAAGAAATGGGAAACTCAATTTATTTAATGTGGTACCTTCCGTCTTAAATTATACCATTTAAAAAAATTATCAACACTATCTTTTCTAACTCTCCATGATCCAAACACCGTAGGTCTTGGCTAATTTTGTACTATGGATGAGGACTACTCTATTGTATTGTCTTATGGAGAATGTTTGTTTATTGGTTTGTTGTTGTTGTTGTTGTTTGTTTTTGAGACTGAGTCTCACTCTGTTGCCCAGGCTGGAGTGCAGTGTCACAATCTCGGCGCACTGCAACCTCCACCTCCCAGGTTCAAACGATTCTCCTAACTCAGCCTCCCAAGTAGCTGGGACTACAGGCACCTGCCACCATGTCCAGATAATTTTTGTATTTTTAGTAGAGATGGGGTTTCGCCATGTTGGCCAGGCTGGTCTCGAGCTCCTGACCTCAAGAGATCTGCCTGCCTCGGCCTCCCAAACTGATGGGATTACAGGTGTGTGCGACCATGCCCAGCTGTTTATTGGTTTTTAATTTTTTTATTCAGTGGTAAAGTAAATGAATCACAGTATATGAGGATAGAAAGTGTTGTCAAAGGTAAAATAGTACCTCTCTGGGAGAAAGCCCAAAGACCTTTGAATAAAAAGCAAAGGGATAATTAAAAGGAGAAAGCACTTTATATTTCATACTTAATTCCTTCTCTTATAATAGAGGCAATTCTATCTTTATCTACAGCACTGCTTCCGAAATCCCCAAGGAAGACATCTCTGAGCTTGTGTGGATATTGAACCTTATCATTGGCATGCAAAGGCACTAGCCTTTGGCAGAAAGGGAGGGATGAGAATGAAATCTTCAAAATAGCTTCAATTATAGCAGAAGGATTAGTATGTAGCATTTCTCTCTGAGTTCTCACATGCATTTAAGATCCATTGCTTTTTTAATTTTTTTTCACGAAGTTTTAAAGTCTCTCTCTCTCTCACCTGAAGAGAACAGCATTATCCTTAATTAAAACTCCTGAGAGAGCTTTAGAGGTCTGTAGTTCAGATTGTATTGTTTGAGTCTTTTCATTTAAGAATTTAAGCCCATCTTGCCAAGTTTCTGATTTTGTTTCAAGATCAGTGATTTGAGGGGCAAAGGAATCAATTTAGTTCCAAGTGATTGGATACTTTTTTACATGATTTATAATGATAACTCCTTAACCTGCTACATGGAGATTCAGATTTTGCTATGTCAATAACAAGAGTAAAACAGGCTCACTGAAAATTTACAGAACTATTAAAAAACAAATATCTAGTAATTAAAAAACACCTCATAAAATTACATTACTTGGTCTGTAGGCACTGAGCACCTTGAAAGTTACCCAAAAAGAATAATAATATATGGAAGAAATATTTTATTAGGAATGCAAGTAGCAGTAGCCTATACAGACAGATGGGCATACAAAATTCAGGGCTCATGTTTTCACACCTCATCTTCTCATCTGTAAAATTTGGAATTAGAGTACTACCTACCTCAGAGACTATTAAGAAGATTAAATTTGAAAAAAAAAAAGAAGAAGAAGATATGTAAGGAATTTGAACCTAGCTGGATGCATCAGTTATGCAGGAAAAACAAAAGGTAAATATAATGCTCATGGAGCTAGGTCTCCCAAGGCTTTTTGCCATTGAGATGTTAAATACAAGCATAGCTGGAAAGTCAAGACATAACCCTAACATAATTTGAGTTATTTATTGCTTTTCTTAAACTCTGGAAGTACCCAGAATTGTGTGTGTATGTGCGTTTGTATGTACATGCATTTTATTTTTTTATCTTATCTGCCAGACTTGTAAGTCAGAGAAAAAGTCAGCAGTGCCTTAGCTGTACAACAAATTGTTGAGTGCCAATATCCTCATTAAGAACCATTCCACATAGCATAGCTACTCTTTGGAGCTTTAAATCCAGGAACGTTCTTAGTGTAGCACTTCCTAAGCTCTCATATGTCTTGCTTAGGCATGTCTCTACCTCTCAGCTATCCTTTATCCTCTCAATCATATATATTTACCACAGCTCAACAGTCTTTTCTCACATCCATGACAAAATGTTTCCTGTAAGTTTTTTTCCTTTCATTCTAAATCCTGTCCAAGGACCATAATCACAGGTGCATGATTCACCATAGTATTTATCAGGCCTTTGTTGATAGAAAAGTGATTCAGCTTTGAAAGAAGTGCCTGTGATTGACCTTCTCTTTCTTCCCAGAATAACCTCTGTTTTCTTTCAAAACCAGATGTTTTGAAATAAAGGATAAAGAAAATAACCAATTGTTTACAAGATCATTTTTTCATATTCCTTCTATTTAGTTAATTTGTATTTTGCCATATAATTATTTTTCCCTCTGGAACATACAGTCCCAAATTGAGTATTTTCTGAAGGGGAAAAAAGTAGTTCCGAATTCAGTATGATCATTATAATATCTCCCTTTCTGGTAATATTTCAAGTAACGTATCACCTTGCACCACATCCCATTTTAGGCTTTAATAACATAACTACAAGATTCAGGAAACTATGATGAAAATGCTCCCATATCCATCTAAGTACTATAGATTAGGTGCAAATTCTGCCACCACCACCACAATTTTAATGCTGATAAAGCCATAATTTTCTGGCTTTTGTTCACTATTCTATTCCAAACTCAGGTCTATGGGAAAAGAAATACTTTAAAAAATAATATAATTTTATTACTTGTATTTTTAGAAGAAAGAAAAGGGAAACTTTTCTAAACACAATTCCTCTCTTCATGTCTCCTATCATATGTGTTGCTAATGTTCTCAAACCTTCATTTCCAATATTTTATAAGAAAGGAACAGTTTTTCTCCAAATGCTATCCATTATAAAGATTTAAATGGACTGAAAACTTTAGTTTTGACATACTGGCCACACTCAACTCTCTAGATCACTAAGGACTGCAAGCATATGCCCTGCAGTGCACAGAGCCTAGGAAAGATATTTTTCTTCATATCTCATCAATATGTTCCAAAGAATCAATATGGTGTTGAACTCTCATCCCTCTTTAACTTGAGAGTGAAAGGAAATACAGGGGATGTCTTTGACTCATATGCTAATAATTTCTTTCTTTTACATACACTTTTTAATTACTCTGATAACATAGTTATTATCACAACTCAGAAAATAAATATTGGGAGATAGCAAGCCACAAGAAGTCACTCGCTTTTGGAAATATTACAATTAAAACATATGACCAAAGAAGGTAATGGATTAAGATATGTTTGTCATTTTATTCATTACTTGTTAATTTTGTAAGGACATAAGCCCAAAAATTAATGACAAAATTATGAGTACAAAGAGATAAATTCATCCTTATATGCCTTTATTATGATCAACTATGTAATTTACCTACCTTTTTAAAATTATTTGAGGATCTATGAACTGCAAGCACTGTATAAATAGTGAAGAAAAAGGTAACTAGAATATATAAAAAAAGTACAAGGATTACCTTCAAAGATTTTATGTGAAGATACATATACAAGTGAGAAAATACATATACAAGAGACAAGACATATACAAATGAGAAAGGTAATGTGAGTCAAGGAAGAAATGATAAATGTGCCTATACACTGTGGAATTAGCCATATTTAAGAGTCTAAGTTTTGGCTTCCTAGTGAAGTAGTTGGCCTGCTGAAATACTCAGAAATGTTTATTGAATTAGAACAGGCATTGTCAAACTTCTCCTACAAAAGGCCAGATTATAAATATTTTATGCTTTGTGGTCCATATGGTCTCTGTTACAAATATTGATCTCTGCTATTGTAATGCTAAAGCAGCCATAGAAAATAGACAAATAAATTAGCATCACTGTATTCTAATAAAACTTCATCATAGACACTGAAATTTGAATTATATGTCATCTTCATATATCATAAACTGTTCTTTCGATTTTTTTGCAATCATTGAAAAATGTAAAACCAATGGTGGACTGGATTTAGCCTATGGACCACCTAGTTTGTGTATCCCTGAATTATAGCATTAGTATTGAAAAAAGAATGGTTTTTGCAATTATCTCATTTTAAATTGCCCTCTTATGTTTGGAGGAGTATAGCTGATGGAGGACCATGTTTTTTTGATAGAATGACAGATTTAAAATGTGTGTACCAGCTGTACAGGCAAAGATACATTTTTGTACAACTTGAACTTTGTTCAAAAGGATTTTCTTTACTTCTTCTTGTTTATGTGTTGTTTACTGCTTTTATTCTCATTCAATTACTAATGTTTTAAATAATCTAAACTCATTTAATTCTCTCCTTTTGTCCACCTCTGCTCCCAAAGTTACTTTGTGTCTATAAATAATATAGTCACAACTCAAACATTAGAAAAGTAACCCAACATTAGCTACGCAAATCTATCTAAATTAAATCTTATAGAAGACAAAAATATGGCATTTAACAAGGTTTTTTGGGGAAACGTCAGTCTAAAGTACTAAATAATAAAAGTCTTCATCTTTGATAACTTTGCATATGTAATTTTTTATTAAAATTTCATTATTTTTAACTCATATTTATCGATAGACTTGCTGTGCTATTACTAGTTTTACTCAGAAGGTGGACTCAATATGTTGTTTGGCTCTTACTAAAGCATACTTCTTCTTCACTCCTTTTTAATGGCTCCTCCCTACTTTATAGTTGATTTATTTTGCTCATGTGGTAGATTAAGAATTTCATAAAGAAGGAAGTCATTTCTAGTTAATTGAAATCATTCCAAGTACATCTGTTTTCAAAGAAATTTTACCAAACAGGCCCTTTTCCACACAGGAACAATGGAGGAAAAATAACAACTGCTGCCTCTAAAGAACAAGAAAATTGCAAGGTTGACTAGGACAATAAGGAGAAATAAATAGGTGAAGAAAATCCATACATGCAAATCAGAGATTACATATCTCATAGATTACTTATAGCATTTTGAAATGTACAGTAGGTAATTTCATCAATAGAATCTTAAACGTAAGATACTTTAATTAACAGTATTCTTATTTTGCAATAGCACATACCATAGAAGAGTTAAGGCTACAAAAAGTCTTTCCTGACATTACCAATATTTCTGGAAATAAAATATCAATGTGTCTGGATTTATGAATATAGTGATGCAATATTTCTAATGTCTTGCTTAGAATAAATAATAACTTACTATTAAGCAAATCTTATGGGGTAAATAAAATAAATGTGTCAAAAACCAATCAATAGAGTGACTTTAGCAAACAGAGAAACAGAGATGATATCAACCTAGTCAATCACTTATGTTTTGTGTATCAAGTAGAAAAGTAAACTCATGTAAAGAAATATTTGTCTATATATATCTATAAAGTTCTGAATATGTATTTGTTTTAAGCAAAGAAAGTATGTGTGAGAGGTTTCTTTTTACTTTTTAGTAATCTAGATTTTATATTACATAAAGGGAATGTCCAGTTCATATAGGATACTATAAACAAAATACCTTTGACAGGGTAGCTTATAAACAACAGAAATGTATTTCTTTGAATTCTAACACTAAGAATTTCCATGATCAAGGCACTAGCAGATTTCACGTTTAGTAAGGGTCTATTGTTTGATTCATAAAAGTCACCCTCTCTCTGTGTCCTCACATGGTAGAGGGGAAGAACTTTAGTCTCTTCAGCCCTTTATTAAGGCATTAATCCCATTCATGACGACTCTATCCTCATGACCAAATAACTTCCCAAAGACCCCACCTCTTAATACCATTCATTTGAGAAATATATTTCAGAATATGAATTTTGGAAGGAAGCAAATGTTCAGACTATAGCAGAGAATTTTATATTATATAACATAATTTAATTTTGAATTTTATATCCCAAAAAAGAAGTCACAAAGTTCCAAGAATCTTGTCAAAAGTCTTTTCCTTTGATACATAATTTTCAAGCTTTCAGATCAAAATCACCTAGGAAACTTGTAAAGCTGTATGCTATACCATATCTGCAAATTTGATTGACAAAACATCTAGAGCTAAAAAATATGCATTTTAAACAAATATCCCAGGTGATTCCTAGCACATTAAATTTGGGGAACCATGACCCTGATACCTAATTTTTTTTTATTCTTCCCTGCTGTCTTGTCTTTGCTATAATTATCGTTTCTCATAAATCCTCTCATAATAACAAGACATTGCTTTGCTTTCAGTGTCACTAACATTTCTGTAATCACCATGATTATCAGGCTTTGCCTCGATTCGTATGTATACGTAGATCTTTGAAAAATACAGTACCTGTGTTAACATTCAAAATCAGAATCAAAATTAAGACTCAGAATCAGAATCACTCCTGCCTGATTCCAGCTTCAAATTTCAAGCTGTAGCTGTTCCGCATATGACCATATTCTGGGCATTGGTGCTACTGCCACTGTGTGTGCACCCACACACTGGTGACAAGAGTGATCCTCTGGACTGCCATTTAACCTTTTTGGGAAAAAAAAGAGAATGAAAGGACATTCGTCCCCTTCAGTAGCATGGCATCAAAGGTCCCCAGTGTCTTGTAATGCCACAGCAGATACTTACAGCCTTGGTGACCAAAGACCTCCCACAATCTTCACCGATACTGACCTCAGCAGACAGAGCAGCTTAAAATCTACACTATTGGACCACCATTGCCTCATCAGGGTCGAGGCATTACTGTGCCTGTCTCTCACAGACGTAGAGCAACCACACCAAAGCAGATAGCACCCTTGCACTCACCCATATGAAAAGATTTCTTTCCACCAAAGCTAGTATTTAAAGTATGCAAAAGGTGTGTGCTTTATCTAATATGGAGACCTTTATACAAAGTTACAAGGTTATGAAAAATAAGGAAAATTCACACCAATAAATGAATACAGTAATCTTCTAATAACTGGCACTCTAAAAATTGAGATCTGTGAATTGCCTGACAAATAGTTCAAATTAATTATTTTAGAGAAGCTCAATGAGCAATAAGAAAATACAAATAGAAAACTCAATAAATCAGAAAAATAATATATGAGCAAAACAAGTTCAAGAAAGAGGTAGAAGTCATTAAAAACAAAACAAATTCTGGAGTTGAAAAACAGCTAATGAAACAAAAAAAAATACATTAGACAGCTTCAACAGTAGAAAGAATCTGTAAATTCAAAGACAGGTCATTTCAAATTATGCAGCCAGAGAAGGAAAAAGAAAAAAAGAATGAAAAAGATTTTAGAAATTGTATGGAATTCATGGGATATCATCAGGAGACCTAATGTATGCATTATGAAAATCACAGAAGGAGCTATGAATAATAAAGGGGCATACGCTTATACGAAGAACTGATGTCCTAAAATGTCCTAAAATTTTTGTTTATTTTATTTTTTTGTTTTGAGATGGAGTTTCAGTCTTGTTACCCAGGCTGGAGAGAAATAGTGCAATCTCAGCTCACACCGCAACCTCCGCCTCCTGGGTTCAACCAATTCTTCTGACTCAGCCTCCCAAGTAGCTGGGATTACAGGCATGTGCCAACACACCCGGATAATTTTGTATTTTTAGTAGAGATGGGTTTCTCCATTTTGGTCAGGCTGGTCTCGAACTCCCGACCTCAGGTGATCCGACTGCCTCGGCCTCCCAAAATGTGGGATTACAGGTGTGAGCCACCATGCCTGACAAAAATTTTCAAATCTTGAGATGGAAATATATAACTAGGTTCTTAAGGCTCACAAGTTATCAAATAGTTTCAACCCAAAGAAGACTGCACCAAGACGTAATAAACAAATTGTCAAAAATCAAGAATGAGAGAATTCTGAAAACAACGATGAAAAGTGACACATCACATATAAAGGAACCTTTCCAAAAATTAATAAGCAGATTTCTTATCAAAAGTCTTGCAGATCAAGAGGGAGATACCATATGCAAAGCACTAAAGGAAAATAAAACTGCTAACCAATGGAAAATAAGTAAAATTTTATTACTGTCTCCTTTGTTTCTTCCTTCCTTTCTTTATTTTTATTTCTGATTGCTTCCAATTATGGTTACTCTCAATAACATGGTTATAAACATTTGTATACAATATTGATGTGAATATGTTTTCATTTCTCTGAGATAAATGCCAGAGTGCACTAACTAAGCTGTATGGAAGCTGTATGATAATTGCATAGTTACTTTCAAGAGAAATGGCCAAACTGTTTTCCAGGCGTCTGTATCACTTTATATTCCCATGGATGAGTAAAAATATCTGACTGGCATTCCAACAAACATTTGGTGTTGTCATTTTAAATTTTGTTTATGTCATTATTTACACATACACACACATATTCACTCATGTTCAGATGTTTATAACATGTTTATTTTAGCCACTATGGTAGATATATAGCAATATCTTGTTGTGGTTTCAGTTTTGCTAAAGACTAATACTGTTGAACAATTTTTCATGTGTTTCTCTGCCATCTGTATATCCTATGCAGTGAAATGTCTGTTTATTGATTTTGTCTTTTTTTATATTTTAAGTTTAGGGGTACAAATGAACGTTTGTTACATAGGTAAATTTGTGTCATGAAGGTTTGTTGTCCAGAATATCTCAAGACACAGGTATTAAGTCTAGTACCCATTAATTATTTTTCTTGATCTTCTCCCTCCTCCTACCCTCCACCCTCTGAAAAGGCTCAGTGTATGTTGTACCCCTCTATGTGTCTTCCTTTCTTCCCTCCTTTTTTTCTTCTTTCTTTCTCTCTTTCTTTCTCTCTTTTTCTTTTTCTTTCTTTCTTTCTTTCTTTCTTTCTTTCTTTCTTTCTTTCTTTCTTCTTTCTTCCTTTCTTTCTTTTTTACTTTCTTTCCTTCTTTTTAATTCTTTTCTTCTTTGTTTTCTTGCTTTCGTTTTCTTCTTTCTGATTAATTCGTTCATTCATTCTTTCTTTCTTTTTCTTGTTTTCTTTCTTGCTTGCTTTCTTTTTCTTTCTCTCTTTCTGTCTGTCTCTCTGTCTCACTATGTCACCAACGCTGGAGAGCAGGGTTGCAATCACAGTTTCTTGCAGCCCCAAACTCCTTGGCTCAAGCAATTCTTCCACCTCAAATTCCCGAGTAGCTGAGACTGCAAGTGCCAACCACCACACCCAGCTAACTCTATCTATCTATCTATCTATCTATCTATCTATCTATCTATCTAACTGGACAGGAGTCTCACTCAGTTGCCTAGGCTGCAATTTTCTTTTATAAGTGAAGGAGAGATAAAATCTTTCACAGACAAACACAAACCCATGGATATTTGTCACCACTAGACTTTCCTTATGGGCTAAAGCTTAAAGAAGTTTTTAAAACTAAAATAAAAACATGTTATGCAGCAACATGAAAGCATAAATCCCACTGGTAAAGGTAAATGTATAGAAAAATACACATTGATGTTAAAATTCTAATGGTGGAGCATAAATTATTTTAAATCTATTATGAAAGTTAAAAAGTAATAATTTGTTAATGAATACACAATATAATAAGGAAGAAATTCTGACTGTAAGAACACATTGGGTGTGAAGGGGAGTAAAACTATAGAGTTTCTATAAGAGATTAAAGTTAAATTGTTTTAAAATTAAAATAGAAGGCTATAGCTACAAGATGCTTTCACAGGCATAAAGCTCACCAGAAAGAAAAAGCATTAATATACAAACAACAGATAAATAGAAATGAATCAAAGCAAAATAATTACAAAATTATCAAATACAAAAACAGAGAGGAAGAAACAAATGACTGCACAACAGACAAAAATTCCCAAAATGGTAATAGTAACCCCTCACTTACCAATAATTACTTTACATATAGATAGAAAAAATTACCAATAAAAAGATACAGAGTGCATAAAACAATAATATCCAACTATGGTTATATACACGAGACTTGCTTTATATTTAAAGAAATGTATAAGCTAAAAGCAAAAGGATGGAAAATTTTATTTCGTGCAAATTGTAAGCACAAGAAAGTAGGAGTGACTGTATTTGTAGAAACCTAAAATCTAAAAATATCTTTAGAGGATAAGAAGCTTATTATATAATGATTAAGGTGTCAATTCAACCCTGGAGATTATAAAATTATGAATATATGGGTACCAAACATCACAGTACCTACATATATAAAGCAAATATTGACAGATATAAAGGGAGAAATTGACAGGATTAGGGTAGTAAGAGTGGATTTCAATACCACATTTTCAATAATACATAGAACATCTAGAAAGAAAGTCACTAAAACAATAATTGACTTGAATAACACTATAGGCCTAAAGGATCTAAAAGACACATTTCCATTCAACAGCAGAATATACATTCTTCTTAAGCACATATGGAACATTTTCCAGGAGAGATAACATGTTAGGTCAAAAAACAAGACTGCAAATTTAAAAAGATTAAAATCATTGCAAATATTTTTACTGACCACAGTGGAATAGAAGAACTTAATAACAGCAAAAAAAGAGAGAAAGAGAAAATTACAAATACATGAAAACTAAACACACTCTTGAACAATGTGTCAAACAGAAAATCATAACAGGATTTTAAAAAGTTTCTCAAGACAAATGAAAAACAAAACACAACAGACCAAAATCTGTGGGATGCAGCAAAAGCAGTTCTAAGGGAGAGGTTTATAGCAACAAATGTCCATATCAAAAATATATATATATTTCAAATAAGCTACCTACAATTACACCTCAAATTATTAGCAAAAGGAGAACAGAATAAGCACAAAATTAATAGCAGAAAGAAAATAACAAGGATCAGTGAAGAAATAAATAAAAGACTAAAAAGGTGAAAAATTAACAAAACATAGAGTTGCTTATTTGAAAAGATAGACAAAATCAATAATCTTTTAGGTAAACTAAAAAAAAAAAGAGAAGGCTTAAATAAATAAAATCCAAAATAAAAACGGAGACATTACAGCTGACACGACCAAAATACAAAGGATCATAAGAAAATGTTATGAACAATTATATGCCAACAAATTGGATAACCTAGAATAAATGGATAAATTTCTTAACATACAACCTATCAAGACTGAATCATGAAAAAATAGAAAATCTGAATAGACCAATAAAAATAAAGAAGATTAAATCAGTAATCCAAAATTTCTCAACAGTGAGTAGCCCAGGGTCAGATGCTTTTATGGGTGAATTCTACTAAGCATTCAAAGAAGCAATATTAATACCTCTTAAACGCTTTCAAAAAATAGAAGAGGAAACACATTTGTTCAGAAAACACCCTACTGGAACCAAGCCTCACTCTCCATAAGAAGAAGACAAGTTCAGACCAAATAAAGAGGCAGAACTTTCCAGGTTGTTAGGTAGTCAAAACCTTATTCAAGAAGAATTTATATACAAGGTAGCCTTGGGCAACAGGAAAATGAGGAAGATCTCTACAATGTGATTTATGTAAACTTTATACCATGAAAAAAAAAAAAGGAAAGTAGGAAAAAAAGAAGAAAAATGTCACTGATGGTCTGTTAAAGCATCTGATTACTTTCTTAATTTATTTACTCTCTACCTAAAGGGATTCTTTGGGTTCTTTACAATCTGGTCAACATTTCTAAAGGTCAGGAAAGAAGTACTTTGGGTTGCAGTGGTTATCCTGATACTGGCATGTTTCTACTGATTACTGCATTTTACAACACATTTTCCAATCACTTACCTAGAATATATTCACAACAACTTCCAAACACATTTTGTGAGGCCAACATCACCCTGATACCAAAACTAAAGACACTACAAAAAACTACAGGGAAATAATTTTGATGGACAAAATGTAAGAATCTTCAATAAAATGCCAGCAAAGCACATTAAAAGGATTATTCACCATGATCAAATGATGTGTACCACTAGAGTGCAAGGGTGGTTCAATGTACAAAACTCAGTTAATGTCATGTAAGACATTAACACAATGAAAACAAATGATCATGTAAATTGGCACAGAAAAAAACATTCATTCATGATTAAAACTCTCAGATAGATACAGAAGGAACTTACCTTAACATTCAAAAACATATATGTAAAAATACCACAGCAAACATCATAATAAATGAGGGAAAAACTGAACACTTTCCCTCTAAAATATGATATAAGGCACAGCTGCTCACTCTAACCACTTCTTTTCAACATAGTACTGAGAGTTGAAGCTAGAGAAATCACACTAGAAAAAGAAATATTAGGCATCCAAGTTTATAGAGAAGAAGTAATATTATTTGTTCGCAGATGATATGCTCATATATATAGAAAACTCTAAAGATTCAACAACAAAACAACAACCTGTTAGAAATAGAGCCCTATCTCATAGATATTCTGGTTCAACTTTAGATCACCACAATAAAGCAAATATCCCAAAAAAGCAAATCACACAAGTTATTTTATTTTCTAGTGTATATAAAAGTTATGTTTATATGGTACTGTCTATTATGGGTGCACAATTTAGCTTTATGTTTAAATAACAATGTACCTGCCTTTATTTAGAATTTTTATTCCCAAAAAATGTTAATGATCATCTATTTCTTTAGTACTGACAGTAAAACTTCTTTCAAAATTTGAGCCAATCTTCTAAAACCCTGCTACTGTTTTATCAACTAACTTTATGGAATATTCTAAACTATTTGTTGTCATTTTAACAATGTTCACAGCATCATCACCAGAAGTAGATTCAATCTCAAAAAAATTTTTTTTCTTTGCTCTTCCATAAGAAGCAATTTCTCATCCATTCAAATTTTATAATGACATCACAATAATTCAGTCACATCTTCAGGCTTCACATCTAATTCTACTTCTCTTGCTATTTCCACTGCATTTGGAGCATTTGCAATTACTTGTCCGCTAAACTTCTGGACTCATCAACGTCATTCATGGAGGTTGGAATCAACTTCTTTCAAACTCCTATAAATGTTGATATTTTGACCTCTTCCAACCAATCCATGAATGGTATTAGTGGCATTTAAAATATTAAATTCTTTTAAGAAGGTTTTCAGTTTACATTGCCAAGATCCATCAGAGGAATCACTATCTATGGCAGTTATAGCCTTACAAAATGTACTTTCTAAACAATAATACTTGAAAGTCAAGATGACTCCTTGATTCAATGGTTGCAAAATGAATGTTTTGCTATCAGGCAATACAATTTTAATCTCCTTGTATGTCTCCATCAGAGCTCTTGGGGGACCAGGTGCATGGTCTATGAATAGCAATATGTTCAAGTGAATTTTTTTCTGAACAGTAGGTCTTAACAATAGGCTATAAATGTTCAGTAAACTGGCGGGCATGGTGGCCCACGCCTGTAATCCCAGCACTTTAGGGGGATGAGGTGGGCGGATCACAAGGTCAGGAGACCGAGACCATCCTGGCTAACATGGTGAAACCCTGTCTCTATTAAAAATACAAAAAAATTAGCCAGGTGTGGTGACATGCACCTGTGGTCCCAGCTACTCGGGATGCTGAGGCAGGAGAATGGTGTGAACCCAGGAGGTGGAGCTCACAGTGAGCCAAGATCGTGCCACTGCACTCCAGCCTGGGCAACACAGCCAGACTCCATCTCAAAAAAAAAAAAAAATGTTCAGTAAACCATGTTGTAAACAGATGTGTTTTTATCAAGGCTTTGTTGTTCTACTCATAGGCCAAGGACAGGATTGACTTAGCATAATTATTAAAGAACCTGGAATTTTCAGCGTGGTAAATGAGCACTGGCTCTAACTTAAAGTCACCAGCTACGCTAGCCCCTAACAAGAGAATTAGCCTGTCCTTTGAAGCTCTGAAGCCAGGCATTGACTTCTCCTTTTAGCTATGAAAGTCTTATGTGGCATATTTTTCCAATAGAAAATCTGTTGTTTATTGTAGTCACCATCACTAATTATCTTAGCTACATCTTCTAGATAACCTGCTGCTGCTTTTACAACAGCATTTTCTATTTCAACTTACACTTTTGTGTCATGGTAATGGCTTCGTTCCTTAAATCTCATGCCTCACCACTGATGGCTTCAAGTTTTTCTTAAGCTTTCTCACCTCTCTCAGCCTTCATAAAATTGGAGAGTTATGGCCTTGCTCTGAATTAGGCTGTGGCTTAAGGGTATGTTATGGCTGGTTTGATCTTCTATTCAGAAAACTCAAACTTTCTCTATATCAGCCATAGTGCTGTTTTGATTTCTAATCATTTGTGTAATCCCTGGAGTAACACTTTTAATTTCCTTCAAAAAATTCTGCTTTGCATTCACAACTTGCCTGTGTTTTTGGCACAGGCGGCCTAGCTTTTGTCTTATCTTGGTTTTAGACATAACTTCCTTACTAAACTTTTGATTTAAAATGAGAGACATATGGATCTTACTTCCACTTGAACACTGAGAAGCTATTGTAGTGTTTTTATTGTCCTAATTTTAATATTATAATGTATCAAGCAATAGAGGGACGGTGGAGAATGAGAGAAATGAGGAAATGGTCAGTTGGTGGAGCAGTCAGAACACAAAAAATTTATTAACAGGTTGCAGTGAGCCAAGATCATGCCACCGCACTCCAGCCTGGGCGACAGAGCAAGAGTCCATCTCAAAAAAAAAAAAAATTATTAATAGAGAGAGAATGGAGCAAAATGATGAAATAAAAGCCTATACCATCAGTCCCCTCTCCTGGGACACCCAAACTATAACAACTATCTCTATATACAAAAGCAACGTAAGAATAAAAAAATCAGGTGACCAATTATAATACCTGATTTTAACTTCATGTCACTGAAAGAGGCATTGAAGAAGGCAGGAGAAACAGCCTTGAATCACTGACACCACTCCTCTCCTATCCCCTGAAAGAAGCTGTGTGGCACAGAGAGTCTATGTAGTTGGAGGAGGGAGAGCGCAGTGACTGGGGAACTTTACATTGAATATCAGAGAGCAAGGCTGCGCTGGGTTCACCTAGCATCCACACATGGAGAGAGCATTTGGACAAGATCTGTCCAGAGGGGAATCTCCCATCCCAGGGGTCAGAACTTGAGTTTCCTGGAAAGCCTTGCCACCACAGGCCAACGTGCTCTGGAGTTCTAGATAAACTCAAAAGGCACTCTAGGACACAAAAACTGCAATTCCTAGACAATTCTTAGTACTGAGCTAGGCTCAGAGCCAGTGGACCAGGGTGGCGTGTAACCTAGGGAGACAACAGCTAGGGTGGCTAAGTCAGTGCTTGTGCCACTCCTCCCCCAACTCTAGGCAGTACATCTCACAACAACGAAAATGACTCCTTTCTTCTGCTTAAGGAGAGGAGAGGAGAGGAGAACAGACAGTAAAGAGGACTTTGTCTTGCATTGTGGATACAAGCTCAGCCACAGTAGGATACGGCACCGGACAGAGTTTTGAGTCCCCCATTCCAGGCAATAGCTCAAAGGTGACATTTCCAAATAGACCCTGAGCTAAAAGGGAAACTGCTTCCTTGAAGGGACGGACCAAGTCCTGGCAGTATTCATCACCTGCTGACTAAAGAACCAATAGGCCTTAAATAACCAGGAGCAATATCTAGGTAGTATGCTGTGGACCTTGGGTCAAGAATGAAAAAAAATACCCTAAAAGCAGCAAGAGAAAAGACACAAACAACATACAATGGAGCTCCAATACATCTGTCTCCAGACTGTTCAGTGAAAATTAAAGGCCAGGAGAGAGTGGTTTAACATATTTAAATTGCTGAAGGAAAAACTATTATCCTAGAATAGTATATTCAGCAGAAATATCACCCAAATATGAAGGAGAAATAAAGACCTTTCCAAACAAACTAAAGTTAAGGAATTTTATTAACACCAGAACTATCCTAAAAGAAATGCTAAAGGGAATTCTTCATTTTGAAAGAAAAGGATGTTACTGAGCAAGAAGAAATCACCTGAAGGCACAAAACTCACTGGTAATCATAAACCTACAGAAAAACACATAATATTATACCATAGATATTGTGGTGTGCACACTATTCTTATCTTAATTAGAAAAATTAAATATTTAAATATTTAACTAATTAAAATTAATACCTATGGCAACTTTCAAGACATATTATGAGACATAAAGAGAAAAAACAAAAAGGTAAAAAGTGGGAGAACAAATTTAAAGTATAGGGTACTATAGTTGTTTTCTGTTGCATGTTTGTTTATGCAACTAGTGTAAAGTTGTTAGTTTAAAATAGTAGGTTATAAGATATAATTTACAAGCCTCATGGTAACGTCAAATCAAAAAACATACAACAATACATAAAAATAAAGAGCAAAAAATGTAATAATACCTTGAGAGAAAATTACCAGAAAACAAATAAAATAATGGCAGTAGTAAGTTCCTACTTACCAATAATAACATTGAATGAAAATGCACTAAACTCTTCAATAAAAGGATATAGAGTAGCTTAATGGATGAGAAAACAAGACCCAATGATCTATTGCCTGCAAGAAACACATTTCACCTATAAAGATACACATAGACTGAAGATAAATGGTTAGCAAATGATGTTCCATACCAATGAAAACCAAAAAAGAGCAGAAGTAACTACACTTACATCAGACAAAATAGATTTTAAGACAAAAACTATTAGAAGAGACAAACATAGTCATTATATAATGATAAAAAGTCAGTTAAAAAAGATGATATAATGATTGTAAGTAAATACGCTCCCAACACTAGAGCACCCAGATGTATAAAGCAACTATTATTAAAGATATATAGAAAAATAGGCCTCAATATAATAATAGTCACAGAATTCAACACCCTCTTTCAGCATTGGACTGATCTCCCAGACAGAAAATCAACAAAGAAACATTGAATTTAATCTGCACTATGGACCTAATGGACCTGATAGATATTTACAGAAAATTTCATCTAAGAGCTGCAGAAAACACATTCTTTTCCTCAGCACATGAATTATTCTCAATGTTTGACCCTATGTTAGTTCACAAATCAAGTCTTAAAACATTCCAAAAAATTGGAAAGAGTATCAAGCATCTTATCTGATCACAATGGAATAAAATTAGGAATCCATAACAAGAGAATTTCATAAACCATACAAATACAAAAAATTAAACAATATGTACCTGAATATCTACTGGGTTAATGAAGAAATTAAGAAGATAATAGAAAAATTTCTTGAAACCAAAGATAATGGAAACATAACATATCAAAACCTATGGGATACAGCAAAAGCAGTACTAAGAGGGATGTTTACAGCTGGAAGTGCCTACATCAAAAAAGATGAAAATTTTCAAGTAAGCAGTCTAACACATCTTAAAGAACTGGAAAATCAACAGCAAAACAAACTTTAATTTAGTAGAAAAAATAAAAAAGATCAGAGCAGAAATAAATTTCATTTTCAATAAAATGCAAATGAACAAAACAATAAAAAAGATCAATGAAACAGAAAGTAGGTTATTTGAAAAGTTAAACAAAATTGACAAACCTTTAACTGGACTAACAAAAAGACAGAGAAAATCCAAATAAATAACATTCGAGATGAAAATGGAGATATTACAACAGCCACTGCAAAAATTCAAAAGATTATTATTGGCTCCTATGAGCAACTATTTGCCAATAAATTGGAAAATCTAGAAGAAATAGATGAACTCTGAGACACAAACATCTTACCCAGATTGAGCTAGGAAGAAATCCAAAAGTTAAACAGATTAATAATAAATAATAAGATTAAAGACATAATAAAATTTTCTCTTTAAAAAAAAAGCCTGGGACACAATGACAAACTACACTGCTGAATTCTATTGAACATTTAGAGAAATAATATCAATCCCACTCAAACTGCTTGGAAAAATAGAGAAGAAGCGAATACATTCAGACTTATTCTACTAGGCCAGTATTACCCTGATTTAAAATAACAACAAACAACAACAACAACAAAAAACACAGACAAAAACGTATCAAAGAAAGAAAATTACTGGCCAATATATCTGATGAATATTAATGCAAATATCTTCAACAAAATACTAGAAAACTAATTAAACATTTCGACAATACATTAAAAAGATTATTCATTGTGACAACATGGGATTTAATACAGCGAGAAGGATTGTTCAATATATGCAAGTCAACTGACGTGACACATCATATCAAGAGAATGAAGAACAAAAACTATACAATCATTTCAACTGATGCTGGAAAAGCATTTGATAAAATTCAACATCTGTTCATAATACAAGCACAAAAAACTGGATATAGAAGGAACACACCTCAACATAATAAAAGCCATATATGACAGACCCTCAGTTAGTATTATACTGAATGAGGAAAAACTAAGTCTTTCCTCTAAGATCTGGAAGATGACAAGTGTGTCCACTTTGACCATCATTATTCAACACAGTACTGGAAGTCCTACCCAGAGCAATCAGACAAAAGAAAGAAATAAAAGGCATCAAAATAGGAAAGAAAGAAGTAAAATTACCCTTGTTTGCAGATGATATGATAAACCTAAACACTCCACACAAAAAAATTATTGGAACTCATAAACAAATTCAGTGAAATTGCAGAACACAAAATCAACATGCAAAAACCAGTAGCATTTCTATGTGTCACAGTGAGCAATGTGAAGAAGAAATTTTAAAAGTTATCCCATTTATCCTCGGGGCAGCAGCTTATGCCTGTAATCCCAGAATTTTGGGAGGCCAAGATGGGCCGATCACCTTAGGTCAGGAGTTCAAGACCAGTCTGACAAACATGATGAAACCCTGTCCCTACTAAAAATACAAAATTAACCAGGCGTGCTGGCACAGGCCTCTAATCTCAGCTACTCTGGAGGCTGAGGCAGGAGAATCGCTCAATCACAGGAGGCAGAGGTAGCAGTGAGCCAAGATCATGCCATGGCACTCCAACCTGGGAAACAAGAGTGAAACTCTGTCTCAAATAAATAAATGAAGTTATCCCATTTATAATTGCCACACATAAAATTAAATACCTAGGAATTCACTTAAAACCAAAGAAGTGAAAGATCTTTTTTATTGGAAACTATAAAGCAATGATGAAAGAAATTTAACAGAACATCAAAAATGGAAAGAAATTGTATATTTATGCATTGGAAGAATCAATATTGTTAAAATTTCCATACAATCCAAAGCAATCTACAGATTCAATGAAATATTCATCAAAATACCAATGACATTCTTTAGAGAAATATAAAAAAAAATTATATGGAACCTCAAAAGTTCCAGAACAGACAAAGCTATCCTAAGAAAAAAGAACAAAACTGGAAGAATCACATTATCTGACTTCAAATTATACTACAGAGTGATAGTCACCAAAAGAGCATGATACTTGAATAAACACAGACATAGCTAAGATTTGAAAGCAACTTAAGTGTTCATCAACAGATGAATGGATGAAGAAAATGCAATTCATATACATGATGGAGTACTCTTCAGCCATAAAAATAATTTGATTCTGTCATTTGCAACACCATGAACAGAAATGGAGATCATTATGTGTAGTGAATGAAGCTAGGCACAGAAAGACAAACATGGCATGCTCTCACTTATTTGTGGGATCTAAAAATCAAATCAATTGAACTCATAGACATAGAGAGTAAAAGTATGGTTACCAGAAGCTAGGAAGTGTAGTGGGGGGTGGGGTGAGGGGGAGGTCAAGATGGTTAATATGCAAAACAATAAAATAGTTCAAAAGAATGAAGAAGACCTAATATGTGGTAATACAACAGGGTGACTATAGTCAATAACTTACTTTTACATTTTTAAAAAACTAAAAGAAAGTAATTGGAATATTTGTTACACAAAGGATAAATACTTGAGGGGATGGGTAAAAAGTGTATTGTTTACTTCAAAATAGCTAGAAGAGAGAATTTCTGAATTCCACTACAAAAAATGTCAAATGTTTGAGGTGATGAATATGCAAATCCCCTGATTTTATCATTACACAATATATATGTATAAGAACATCACCTTGTACCCCACAAATATGTATAATTATTATGTCAAGTAAAAACAAAAATAAAACATTAAAAAAGACTAAAAGTATGAAATTCATAATTATATTTATATAGCCATTATAAATTAGGGCTCCTATATTTATGTAGGTAGAAGGAAACATGGACACAATGAGGAGGGGGATGGAAAATATAAAATAAATTCAGGTAGAATCTCTGAAAATAAAAAATTGTGTATAGTCAATGAAAAATGCCCTGGATAGAATTCAGTATAATTAGCACAGAAAAAGATCAGTGTACTTACAAAATTGCAATAGATTAAAAAAAAATGAATACAACAATGGTAAATTTTAGAAAAATTTTAAAGTTTCTTGAAGATATAAGATATCAATCCCAGTAAGGGAAATAGATAGACAAAATACTTAGACAAATATTTGCTAAAAAATATTCTATTTTGAATACATAAATATAGATATATAAAGATCCAAGAAGTATAATAACCCTATGCTGAACAATAATAATAATGATAATAAGAAGAGCATACAATAATCAATCTTCTGAAAACTATTAATAAACATATCAATCTTAGAAGATCTAGAAAAAAAGACACATCACAGAGGAACAAAGATAAAACTTACAATAGACTACTCACCAGAACTATATCAACTAGAACATTTTTAAACTATTAATTTTTTAATGTCAATCTAGAATTATATAGCCAATTAAAATTTATTTCAAAAACTAAGGTATAAAATGACTTCTGAAAAAAACAGAAGCAGAGAAAATTAATCACCAACAAATCTGCGCTATAAGACGTTCCAAACAACATTTTTCAGCTAAAAGAAAAATGATACCTGAAAGAAAGGTTGATCTATCAAAGCAACAAAGGATGATAGGAATGCAAATTCATTCACAAACATAGAATCCATGAATAATGAAGATAGACTATTCTTTAAACCTGGCTTTCTCAGTCCTTTGTAGATTATGTGTGCTAACTAATGTGCATTAATTATTTTTCTCTTTCAATACTAAAGTTGTGTTTTTAGTGGAAGGTGTTCCAATCCAGACCCCAAGAGAGGGTTCCTGGACCCCTCGCAAGAAAAAATTCAGGGTGAGTCCATAGAATAAATTGAAAACAAGTTTATTAAGAAAGTAAAAGAATAAATAATGGCTACTCTATAGGCAGAGCAGTGGCATGGGCTGCTCAACTGAGTATACTTATAGTTATTTGTTGATTTTATGCTAAACGAGGGATGGATTATACATGAGTTTTCCAGAAAAGGGGTGAGCAATTCCTGAAACAGTGTTCCTCCCCCATTTAGACCATATAGGGTAGCTTCCAGACATTGCCATGGCATTTGCTAACTGTCATGGTGCTGACAAGAGTGTGTTTTAGCATGCTAATGCATTATAAATAGCATATAATGAGTAGTGAGGACAACCAGAGGTCACTTCAGTTGCCATCTTGGTTTGGGTGGTTTAGGCCAGCTTCTTTATTGCATCCCATTTTATCAGCAAGATCTTAGTGACCTGTATCCTGTTCTGTCTATATTATCCTGTGACTAAGAATGCCTAATCTCCTGAGAATGCAGCCCAGTAAGTCTCAGCCTTATTTTACACAGCCCTTATTCAAGATGGAGCCACTCTAGTTTAAATGCCTGTGACAGTGCTGGCCCAGTGCTGTTCTATAGCTGCTCTTCAATGGCAAAAGAATAGATTGACAATGTCAGGGAAAGGTGGAAAAGAGAAATGGGAATAAACAGAAAATTCTCTCTTGGCTTGAGCCCCTTTGTGGCACACAAAATTATCCTGACTGAGGTTTGGTTTTCTTCTCATTTTGGGATCCAATTACTATGCCTTTTATGGGTGTGACGGTGAATATTAGGTGTCAACTTGATTGGAGTGACGGATGTCTAGATAGCAGGTAAAGTATTGTTTCTGAGTGTGTCTGTGAGGGTGTTGCTGGAGGAGTAGAGAACCCTGACTAATACAATGGGTTATATTTTACTTTCAAATTTTATTCTATTTTGGAATGCATCAGATTCAAAATCTTTTGAAATTCAGTCTTCTTTCAGCTTCTGTGGGTTTTTCATACAGCTAATAAACGGTAAAGCTGAAATTTAAACCCTAAGAGTCAGAGATAATTCAAGGCTTTGGAAAGGTATTGGAGGAAGTATTTTACCAATAATAAACAAACAAATATGTGGAGGATGATACAATAGGTAAAGAAATGTAAGAATGCTCAAGTAGGTGGCATTTTTCTTTCCTTACAAAAACATTAAACCTTTCAAAAAAATTGGAAATAAAAAGAAAAGGAAATAAATAGAGTAAGGGAGGGAGGCAGAAAGGAAGAAAGGAAGGGTATTTTTTTATAGCTAATAAATAAAAAATTTTGTTTCATAGTTCTGAAACACTGCTGCATATCATTATTACCTGAGGATCTTTGAAGAATCCTAATGCTAAGTACAGACCACATGTTAATTAAATTAGAATCCCTGTGGGTAGAAACCAGGCATCAATATTTAAAACAAATGGGTGATTTCCATGTGTACTCAGTTTTAGATATGCTCCTCTATACACTTGGTACACAAAAGATGATCAAGAGACCATTATATTAAAGAAAAATAAAATATATTTATCAAAATATTTTGACACATTTTGAAATGGCTGCCAATTGGCCATTTTGACAGAAGTGGCCTTGCAAAGCTGTCTTAAGTGGAAAAATATTGTATCTGTAGAGAATCTCCATTAATGCAGAAATGCCCTCTTCCCCTTTCTATGCCTTTCCCCAGATCTAGGGGAGATTGAAAGTCTGACACCTTTTAAAGTCTGAAAAAGAAAAATTTATCATCATGTTACCCTCATACTGTTCTTATGATAGTGAGTGAGTTCTCATGAGATTTAATCGTTTTATAAGGGGCTTTTCCCCATTCTGCTCAGCACTTCTCCTTGCTGCCACCATGTGAAGAAGGAAATGTTTCTTCTGCTTCTGCTATGATTGTAAATAAGTTTCCTGAGGCCTCCCCAGCCATGCTGAACTGTGAGTAAATTAAACTTTTTCCTTTATCAATTATCCAGTCTTTGGTATGTCTTTACTAGCAGTGTGAGAATGGACTAACACATTATCCAAAGGAATCTACACATGCAACGAATCCCTATTTAAAAAAATGAATAAGATCTACTATTTGAAAGCAAAATAAAATGACTATAGTCAATAATAATTTAATTGTACATTGTAAAATAACTTAAAGAATGTAATTGGATTATTTTTAACTCAAAAAATAAATGTTCAAGGTGATGGATAGTTCATTCTCCATGATGTGCTTATTTTACATTGTATGTCTCTATCAAAATGTCTCATGTAGCACATAAATATATATACCTACTATGCACCCATAAAATTAAAAAAATTAAATAAATAAAATTAAAATGTAAAAATAAAATAAAAGATGGTGTATAGTCAGCTGTATGACTTGAACAGGTGACGTTAAATGAAGGTTTCTGATAACACTAAAGATTATGTCTTTAAAATCGAGATAAAAACATCCAGGACTGTCATAGACAGCTGATGTGTTCATGAGGATTGTGGACTAATGAAAGATTTGAAGCAAAACAGGAGTTAATTACATGGACTAAACTAACAGAACACTATGTAAGCCAAAAGTATCTGAGACAGGTCTCAATCAGTTTAGAAGTTAATTTTGCCGAACTTTGATGAACTTCAAGGAAATTACACTGAATAAAAAAATCCAATCTCGAAAGGATACACACTACACAATTTCATTTATACAGTATTTGTGAAATGACAGAATTCTACATATAGAAAACAAGCTAGTTTTGCTAGTGGCAAGGGAATGGATGTGGAGTTGGTGGCTAGAAATGAATTGCACCAGGAATCCCGTGGTGACAGTACTGGAAGTATCTTGATTATGGTATGATATGGTTTGGATCTGTGTCCCCACCCAAATCTCATGTTAAATTATAATCCTCAATGTTGGAAGTGGGGCCTGGCGGGAGGTGATTGGCTTGTGGAGGTGATTGGCTTGTGGAGGTGATTTCTAATGGTTTCGCACTAGCCCCCTCGTGCTGTCTTGTGATAGAGTTCTCACAATATCTGGTTGTTTAAAAATGAGTGGCACCTCCCCCACTCTGTCTTCCTCTTGTTCCAGCCATGTAAGACATGCCTGCTTCCCCTTTCCCTTCTGCCATGATTGTAAGTTACTGAGGCCTCCCTGAGCAGATGCCAGCATTATGCTTTCTATACAGCCTGTGGAACCATGAGCGAATTAAACATCTTTCCTTTATTAAAAAAAAAAAAGTTGATTTTGCCAAGGTTAAAGACATGTCCAGGAGAGAGGTCTGTGATTTTCTTCAAAGATGATTTTGAGGGCTTCAATATTTAAAGGGGAAACTGGGCTGGAGAGGAAAGAAGGAGAGTATGGCCACATTACAGATGCTCCTTAGAGTTCTATAGCTGATTATAAACTACCCAATGAAAGGATAAAAGTAACACAAAAATTGTGGATGACAACAGTCTAGGAACAGTCATGGTTAATGACACCATTGACAAGGAAATTTGGTTACTTTAGTAGCATACAACAATATTACATACTAGTTATGATTACTACTGATAACATATACTAAGACACATCAGAATCATAGAAATCTCATGCAACTTTGGAACACATACTAATGGCATACTTACAGAATATAATCTGAAGAAATTAAGCAACATTTTATAGTTGCCAAAATCATATTCCTGTATGATTTTATAATACGAAATAGGCTGAATATGTCTCTTTTGGACTTCAAGAGACCTAATATATATTAAAAAAAACTAATGAGGTCAAAAGAACTGAATTTACAATTTGATTTGGGAAATTTTGTCAAATATAAAAAGTTTAAAACACTTGACACCACAAAATAGGATCACAGGTTACTGTAAAAAAAAAAAAAAATTCATTTAGCCAAAGTGACAACACATAGATATCAAAAAAAGGCAAAAACCTTTATTCTTTGATAGGAGTCTTAATTTCCTAAAATATAAGCCCTAATAAACACGGCACGAGAACAATTAAATCTGTCTCCCAAACCTTATAAACAATCTGTTAAATTTTAAGTTCTGTGAAACTTTTTATGACCTTTTATAATTATTTATTAACAAGTGGGTTAATGCTCCAAGAAAATCTTGTCAATTTGACACAGGAACCCAGATGCTCGTCTTGCATCAGTGTGCCTTTGATGTTCATGTTTAATTTATGGAGAAACTCTGACCTAATTTTATCTCTCAAGATCAGCCCTTAAAATCTCACATGCCCACCTCTTCTGCAACAGTCCCTGTCCCTAGAGGACTTGAATAGTTTTCATTCTGGCCTCCTGTCTCATGAGTGCAGTTTATTTTGATTGTCATCTTCTCCTGGATATAAAGGTGAGTCTTTAAATACAGTCAGTGCTTAAGATTTAGCAGGACTTGTCCTTTTTAGACCCAGGAGTCAAAGTCCTGTAACTAATCAGCACAGGTACTTTAAAAGCCACAAGGAAAGTTACATGGAGGTAATAACCTTAATTTTAGAAAATTGTTTGTCTCAGTTTTCCTAAGTAAATAAAAACTTAATAACAATGGCATAGAAATTATTTTGATCAAACATAAAATCTGTTTGTTAGACCAGTTACCAAAAGTCAAAAAAAAAAAAAAATTCTGCAGTGTAATTGCTTTTCTCTATTGGCAGTCCATTTAGGTAACCTGCAGGTCAAAGCCAATGAAAATGGTATTTGCATTAGTTAGATATAGAAAAATTGTGTCCTGGGTTACAAGTAAAAGTTTTCAGTTTTATAGAACAATCTAAATTCATGATCACAGAATGTTATATAAGAAGAAAACATTTCCTTTAGACTTTTAAGATAAAACATTTTCAGCATGAGACCACAACAACAGTTAGAACCTGCGGGAAAAAAATTACAGGAATTGATTAAAAATTTGAAAGAGAACTATTATCTCAGTTCTTTTCAAAAGGGAGAGAAAGCTGAAAACAATGAGATGCAATAAAAAGTTGAATTTTTGGATTTAAAAAAATGGAATCTTTTTTATATTTATTAAAGGTAAATCAATATCTTAAGAAAATTTTATTGTCCTTACCAATTCATTAGGGTATTGCTGTATTTTTAATGTCAACGTCCAATCTCTAAACTATTATTAATAATTTTCTTAGATTATAGCCAACTAGATTACATAAAGTCTTTTTCCCCCATGAATCCTCTACTTACAAACCTCATTACGACTTAAACAAATCTTTCAAAACATGCTTGGACTGCCAATTTTATCATGAATCCCCCTCTTTTCTAAATAATTAGTAATTTTATTTTAGAACAAAATTTGCCATACAAGATTCTTCCTTACATAAAATTATTTTTCTTTTAAAAATTCTTACCCCCAAATACTTCATTATATTTGCAACCTTTTTTTACATCTCTCTTATTTACTGGTTCCATTTACACTGTTCTATAAATGACCTTTAAAGGACCTTCAAGTAAGATGAAATTTTTTTTTCTTTTTCTTTTTTTTTTTTTTAATTGAGACAGAGTGTTGCCCGGTCACCCAGGCTGGAGTGCAGTGGTACAATCTCACCTCTCTGCAACCTCTGCCACCCAAGTTTGAGTGATCCTCCTGCCTCAGCCTCTCTCGTAGCTGGGACTACAGGTGTAACCAACTATGCCCGACTAACTTTTCTATTTTTCAGTAGAGACGGGGTTTCACCATGTTGACCAGACTGGTCTCGAAATCCTGACCTCAGGTGATCTGCCCACCTCAGCCTCCCAAAGTGCTGGGATTACAGGCATGAGCCACCATACCTGACCAATTTTTCTTTAAATAAGAACACAATTTTTAAAAAGTATTTTATATAATTTGTTAAAAAATTGGAAATTACGTAGATATTTGATAAGTACCTACTATTTAATTTAATATCTCTTTAGATTCTAAACTGTATGTTTATTCAGAACTTATTTCATTGCATTTGCCTAATTTTTTTAATAGCTTATCTAGAGTACCTATGAAAACTGTGATAGTAATTACTTAAATTTATTTGCCTCTTAACCACTTTTAATGCCTGTGAATGTCAGGTGTTTTATTTTTTGCCAGTAATTCAGAATTTAGCTGTTTTCATTAAATCAACAATATTAGATGCCTTATTTATAAAAAAATAAATAATTAAACAAGGATAATTATCTTTTGGGCTGCATTTAAAGATTTATAATCCCCATGCCAAATTTTGATACCTTATAATATTTAGCAGAGATAAATATAAAACTACTTGACCAATATATCTAAAAATAATATATGTTGCAATTCTGAAGACATTTCTAATTTTATTTATCCAAAAATTTTAAACCAGCTTGTTTATTAAAGATTTACTTAAGTCATGTGAATTTGAAAAAGCATCATGTCCTAAAGTCTCTATTTTTTCTGAAAAATATTTAAGTGCTTTTTCTTTCTTAAAGCCAAATAATTACGGCTTTTTAATATATTTTTGGCAGTGAGACATACATAAAACACATACATGCATAGGTATTTTAGACATGAATGTAAAAGTAAATCTCATACATTCATAAGTTTTCCCATTTTTTTCTCCTATTTTAGACTCAATTTCTTGATAACCTGTTTCATTATTCTGGGCAATTGTCAGCTACATGGCTCCAAATTTGCATACTAATGGAACAACTATTAGGTGAAATTCAGATAGCTAAATATATATCTCAAAGTATGAAGAGAAATTATGGTATGTTGGAGGGAGATTAAAAATGGATGCCACGTCAAACATAAAATTAGAGAAATCTACCACAAGATTTTATGTAAAGACCAATTTCATTTAGAACGGTAGGCTTTAATTTAGTTTCTATTTTTAATTGGACCTCTAAGCTGTGGGAAAAGCCCACACTGATTCCTGGATCTCCAAAAGCAGATACCATAGAACCTAGGCCACAGAGTGCACTTTGTTATAAAGATATTTATCTAAGTATCTAAATCATGACCTTTATTATCTTAAACACCCAAGAGCAGCCACTATTGTAATAACTATTTTAGTCAAAAAATCAGGCAATGTAGTACAAAAATAAGCAGTTTAAATAGGAGAGAAGCTTGTCTATTTATACCTTTGGGGTTTCAGAAGGGAAAGTAGATTTCTCCCCAAATAGGAGTCCGATGTCTTCTCCGTTTTCTTTAAGGAATCCCAGGCTAATATAAATTATTTTAGACCCCTCATGCAGCAGAGAATGGCAATAGGAAGGAGAAACAGGACAAAGTAAATGGAGAGAAGAGAATTCAGTCAACAGGGAAAAAAAATGTTTAACTAAAAAACAAGATCCTAAAAGACAAACAAAGCGGCTGGGCGTGGTGGTTCACGCCTTTAATTCCAGCACTTTGGGAGGTTGAGGCGGGTGGATCACCTGAGGTCAGGAGTTCAAAATCAGCCTGACCAACATGGAGTAACCCCATCTCTAATAAAAATAAAAAATTAGCCAGGTGTGGTGGCGCATGCCTGTAATCCCAGCTACTCGGGAGGCTGAGGTGGGAGAATCGCTTGAACCCGGGAGGCTGAGGTTGCAGTGAGCTAAGATTGCGCCATTGCACTCCAGCCTGGGCAACAAGAGCGAAACTCCATCTTGAAAAAAAAAAAAAACCGCATAAAGACCTTTTTGAACACACACACACACACACACACACACACACACACACACACACCCCTAGAATATCAGCTTTTACTTAAGCTGACTTTTACCATACACCTCTTAAAAATATCCTTTTTAATCTGTTATTATTATATTTTACCCGTGACAAACTGCTGGTATTTCAAAAGTAACACAAATTTCAAACCAGAAATAACTTGATTTAGGAACCAAACCCAGGCTGTCTTGGTTAAAAAAAAAAGGGCAGAATCTTAGCTACTAAAATACAGCATGGGGTAAACGCTATTGCTCTTTCAGTTTGGCTTCACTGGGAAAAGTTGGTGGTGTTGAGTAAATAAAGCCCCTCTGGTTGTCAAAACCTTTTTCTCTCCATTTTTCCCCTTTTGCTGGCCATTGTTTCCTATTTTTCCATTTACTTTCCTTTTTTTTTTTTTTTCTTTTTTTTCAGCTGAGAGAATCTAGCCAATTCAGAGGACTTGTTCCTCATTATCTGGACCTTTTTTCAGATTTAATCAAGTCAGATAGAGTTGGTCAAACCCAATTGGAAAAAGACTGAAACAACAACAAAAACAAATAAAGAAAAATACAATTAAGCAAAAGAAAAAAAAAACTTACAATTTATACCATTACTGACAGCTCTAATGATAAGGAGAAATTGAGACCAGCTGGTTTTTAATCTTAAAATTTAGTCATTAAAGATAATTTCCAGAAAAATCTTCAATTCAGCTAGTTACCTAGGAATTGGGCCCAGGCTATAGACAGCTCTCTAGCATCTTAGAAACAGGAAAATACTCAAACTCATCTTCCATGTTGGAAGTTAGCTGAAACTCCAAAAAGAGTTTGCCTGTTCTCCATCATCATGGAAGCAGGAAAACTTTCCTTTCTTGATGGAATCAAGTAAAACTTTAGAAAAGGAGTTTTATAGCAAAATAAATCTTAGATCTCAAACAAATTTGAGGAACCCAGGATTCTCTAGACAGGAGAGCTCCCAGACCTCAGCAAATTTTCCGATTGGTTTGATCAATAAAAATAGCCTAGAACTAATAGAAGATTTGTCAAAGGTCAGTATCACCTCCCCCAGGGTCTCTTCTGTTGGTTGCCAATTTGTAAACCAAAAAGTATCTGAGACAGGTCTCAGTCAGTTTAGAAGTTGATTTTACCAAGGTTAAGTAGATGCCCAGGACAGAGGTCTGTGCCTTTCTCCAAAGATGATTTTGAGGGCTTCAGTATTTAAATGGGAAAAGTGGGTTGGAGGAAACTGAGGGAGGTTATGGTCACATTACTAAATCCACATGTTGCAAGGGAAAGGGAGCAGGTAGGGGAATGGCCAATTATCTATTGTCTCACCCTCAGTACATCAGCACTTTTCACAAGATGAGGTGAACATGGAGTAGCAATTTGTGGAGATATTTATCCTTTTATCTGTAGCTATCTGCTTAGGAACAGAAGGAAAGGCAGCTGCTTCCATGACTGCTTTCAGCTTAACTTTTTCCTTTTGGCTTAATGAATTAGTGTCTCAAATTTTATTTTCTTTTTACAAATATAATAATCTTATGACTTTTGTTTAAAACATTGCTGATTCTTTTTGTTTTGTTTTTTAGAGTCGAGAAAACTATCTTTTTCTTTTAAGCTATTTATAACTTTTAACGAACAATTTTCAAGTATATTTCTCTCTTTCTGATTTCTCCAAAATTTGGAAACCATTTGTGAGTATTCTTAACTCATAGCAATATAGTTATTTGCATAAGTTCAATAAGAATCTTTTTTATATTGTAATGTAAAAAAAGTTGAGATACTGGTTATTTTACCAAGGCTCTGACTAGAATGGCATACTTTCAGATAAATCCAAAGGCATGAGGAATTGAGGTTGACATATAAAGCCAGTAAAAGCTCCTTGGTAAAACTGAACTTATATCTTGCTTTTTTATGGGATTTTTGATCAGTGGTAGGTAATGAATGACACTTTCTGACAAGCCTAGGAACCACAAATTGCCTTGCAATGTCAAGAAGAAAGGAATTCACCTAATTCATACCATTATCTGCAGTCACAAATAAATCTTTGTTTGGGCTTAACTCTTTTACAAGATCTATTTTGATATTCCTTATGAAAAGACATGTTCCAGCCAAACCGGTTTTTTAAAGGATATGGCAAATAATTGTTTTGGCTGCACTTTATGCAAATAATCAGTCCACGTATAAAAGACTAGACTTTATTTGGCAAATAAATTGGTCTCAGTATTACTTTGTCTTTAATATAACTGAAGTATTGGAGACAGAAAGATTATACCTGCTGTTAGACTCTAATCTTGTCCATTGTTTTGTGGTTTTTATTATTTTCTTGGACTGACTCCTGAATTTGAACTATATCCTGAGTATTTTTCCAGCTATAAGTCTCCAAACTAACGTTTCAATTTTTTCTTCCATTTTTCTTATTTGACATCAGTAGAAATTAAAACTGTGGTATTCTTAAAGCCGTGCTAGACAATTTAAACTTGGGGAAATAATATAGCAACTTATGTATATAAACAATCTTTGTGCCTGCCTGCTAATGTATGAAGTTCTCAGAAAGTTCGCCTGAACACCTGATTTGAACATCAATCCAGAAGAATCTGTCAAATTGCCACTGCAATCTGAAGATGACTCAGAGATTCTAAAAAAGCTAGTCTATATACTAACTACTCCAGACATTAACCTTTGTGTGTTTTTTTCCTGTTTCTATAGAAATGCCTCTTTATTAGAGATCTGATTCCTTACATCATATATAGAGGCTTAGCCCATCTGCAATGCCATGTCTGGGAATGGGATGTAGTTTCTTAAATGAAATAATTTACTCTCAGTCCTAAGAGAATGACTAAAGAAGATACAGGACAATATGTTTAAATTTGCTCTTTTTCTATCTTAATTTGTCTTTCTAAATCTTTATCACTAACAACCTCTAACCCAAATTTCTCTAAAGCTAACAGCTTGGGTTTTAATATGTGAAACTTGTTTTAAGTTTCAGAGTGGGACTGAAAGAAATTAAAATATTTTACTCCAAAGTATATTTCTTTGACATATTTTGAAATGGCTGACACTTGGCCATCCTAACAAAAGTGGCCTTGCAAAACTGTCTTAAGTAGAAAAAAATTGCATCTGTAGAGAATCTCCATTAATGAAGAAATGCCCTCTTCCCCTTTCTATTCCTTTCCCCAAATCCAGGAGAGATTGAGAGTCTGATACCTTTTGAAGTCTGAAAAGAAACTTTATCATCTATTCTCTCTGAGGGAGACTTCATCTACATAACAAGACCACCTGCCTTGCCCAGCTTCTTCCTTTCTCTCTCTTAACTTTTCTTGGCATTAAACAATTTACCTGTTTCTGGCCATGTTCTGAGTCTGCATAGTTTATTGGCCTCAGGATGATGTAAGTTTCTGTAAGTTACTGAGAAGTTGAGTCCTAATTCTGAACACTCCTGTGTATACATTTTAAATAAATTTGTATGTCTTTTCTCCTATTAATCAATCTGCCTTATGTCAATAATTTTTAGGAAACCCATATGGGGCCAAAAACCTATGGCCCCCACAAGATCAACATCACCTTGTTCTTGTTTTTAAGCCTATTCTCAAGCTTTAGTGAATCTTCTTAAATGCAATTCTATTCCAGTACATCTCAGGTAGAACCTGAGATTCCATATTTCTAACCAGCTCTCAGGTGATTCTGATGCAGTTCATTCAAGGCCCAGTTTTGTAGTCACAAGTGTAGAAGACACACTTGGAACTTACTATAAATGTGAAATTCAGGCTCCATATCACACCTTGTGAATCACTGTGAATTTTAACATGATTCCACGTGATCCCAAATTTGATTATAAGCACATTAAATTTTCAAAGCACTGTGGATGAAATAAATGAGTTTGGCAGTTATGGAAGATAGTGATTGACAGAGAATAAAAGAATGCTAAAGTATTGCCTTCAGTTGGGCCAGAAGATGTTGATATTATACATTTTAAGATATTTATAAATTTAACAAGAAAATATATGCAGGACTTTCAGAAGTATATAATCATATATCTATAATTTGATATAAAAATAAAATAAAATAAAGACGTAAATATTTTTATGACAAAATTTGTTTTGTTCCAGAAATCCTGGTGATTTTTATTTTCCACCTCAATTTTCATGATCACCATTATTCTACTTAAACAAAGGTAGGCATATCTCTAATTCATCCTGAGCCTTATTATGATTGATTGCCCAGTTGTAAAAAGAAAAATTTCAAGTGGACAGATTAAAAGAATTTGAAAATCTAAAGACTAAAAAATATGCTGGAGTTAGAGAGACCACCTTTTGTCAAGATTTCAGATACTTGCAGTAAGACACTATGTTCTTCCATGTCCCGTGCGTGGTCCTGCTCAGGGAAAAGTTTGGCATCACAACCAGGTTATGTGAGAAAATATTTTGAATTATAAATGTAGGTTTAATGTAAGGTATGATTGGCAGAAATAATAAGAAATTTGATTCAAGGGCTTATATTCACATAATTTTTAGGCAGCATTTCATGAAAAGAAAGTAAAGAATGTCAATAAGATGCATTTAAGAGTGAGTGCATTCCATTCAAATAGCAAATTCGTGGCAAGACTCCTATGATGCCTTATTATGTTTACTTATATATTTTTCTTATAATTTAGGGGTCAGATGATTTTTTTTCATAGGAAGTCATATAATAACATGTTATAGGCAACAAAATAAGTTCAGACTTTCTCCTCATAAAAAGCAATTCTAATTTGACTGACTAGCTTGAAAATGAGTACTGCCTTTAACAATTAGTCTATACTGTGAATATGTTTCATTGAAAAGCTGAATCTAGAGTTCCAGTGATTAACACAAATACATTTAAGGCATGGTGTATAATAAATGTATTTTATCAAAACATTTTGTTTGTAAAAGGGAAAGGGTATAATTACAATATTTCAATTAAATTTTGCTATTGTTTTTTTGAGCATATCAAGTTTAAAATGTTTTTACCTCAAAATAATAAGAGCCATTTATGACAAACCCACAGCCAATATTACACTGAATGTGAAAAAGCTGGAGGCATTCCCCTTGAAAACCAGCATAAGACAAGGATGCCATCTCTCACCACTCTTATTCAACATAGCATTGGAAGTTCTGTCCAGGGCAATCAGGCAAGAGAAAGAAATAAAGCGTATTCAAAAAGGAAGAGAGGAAATAAGACTGTCTCTCTTTGCAGATGAGCTGATCCTATATCTAGAAAACCTCATTGTCTCAGGCCCAAAGCTCCTTAAGGTGATAAACAACTTCAGCAAGATCTCAGGATACAAAAGCAATATGCAAAAATCACAAGCATTTTTATACACCAGCAATAGACATGCAAAGAGCCAAATCATGAATGAACTCTCATTCACAATTGCTACAAAGAGAATAAAATACCTAGAAATACAACTAACAAGAAAAGTGAGGACCTCTTCAAGGGTAACTACAAACCACTGCCCAAGGAAATCAGAGAGGACAGAAACAAATGGAAAAACACTTCACATTCATAGATAGGATGAATCATATTGTGAAAATGGCCATACTGCCCAAAGTAATTTATAGATTCAATGATATTCCCATTAAACTAACATTGACATTCTTCACAGCATTAGAAATAAAAAATTTTAAATTCATATGGAACAAAAACAGAGCTGTATAGCCAAGATAATCCTAAGCAAAAAGAACAAAGCTGGAGGCATTATCCTAGCCAACTTCAAACTATAATGCAAGGCTATAGTAAACAAAACTGTATGGGACTGGTACAAAAACAGACACATAGAACAACAGAACAGAATAGAGATCTCAGAAATTAAGACTTCACATCTACGACCATCTGATCTTTGACAAACCTGACAAAAACAAGCAATAGGGAAAGAATTCCCTATTTAATAAATGGTTCTGGGAAAACTGGCTAGCCATAAGCAGAAAATTGAAACTGGACCCCTTCCTTACACCTTATACAAAAATTAACTTAAGATGGATTAAAGATTGAAATGTAAAACCCAAAACTATAAGAACCCTAGAAGAAAATCTAGGCAATACCATTCAAAACATAGGCACAGGCAAATATTTAATAATAAAAATCTCAAAAGCAATTTCAACAAAAGCAAAAATGAACACATGGAAAAGTAAAGAGCTTCTGCAGGGCAAAAGTGTCACATGCGTCCATGTGAAGAGCCCACCAAACAGGCTTTGTGTGAGCAATAAAACTATTTATTTCACCTGGGTGCAAGTGGGCTGAGTCCAAAAAGACAGCCAGCAAAGGGAGATAGGGGTGGGGCCGTTTTATAGGATTTGGGTGGGTAGTGGAAAATTACAGTCAGAGGGGATTTTTCTCTTGCAGGCAGGGGTGGGGGTCACAAGGTGTTCAGTGGGGGAGTTTCTGAGCCAGGAGAAGGAATTTCACAAGGTTAATCACTCAGTTAAGGTGGGGCAGGAACAAATCACAATGGTGGAATGTCAACAGTTAAGGCAGGAATGGGCCATTTTTACTTATTTTGTGATTCTTCACTTGCTTCAGGCCATCTGGATGTATACATGCAGGTCACAGGGGATATGATGGCTTAGCTTGGGCTCAGAGGCCTGACATTCCTGTCTTTTTATATTAATAAGAAAAATAACATAAAATAGTGTTGAAGTGTTGGGGCAGAGAAAATTTGGGGGTGGGGTGTGGTATGGAGAGATAATGGGCAATGTTTCTCAGGGCTGCTTTGAGCAGGATTAGGGATTGCGTGGAAACCTAGAATAGGAGAGATAAAGCTGAAGGAAAATTTTATGGTAAGGGGCAATACTGTGGGGTTGTTAAAAGCAGCATTTGTCGTGTAGAATGATTGGTGATGGCCTGGATGCAGTTTTGTGTGAACTGAAAAACTAAACGGAAGACACAAGGTCTGAATAAGAGAAGAAGAAAAATAGGTATTAAAGGACTAAGAATTGGGAAGACACAGGACATCTAATTAGAGAGTTCCCAAGGGAGTTCAGCCTAATTACTTGCTTGGTTGGCAAGTTTTTAGACTCTATCCTTGAGTTTTTTTATGTTGTCATATACCAGGCCAGATAGATTCAGGTAAAAACAACACTTTTCTTTAAAAATATACGGAGTCCCCTCTTTTTAACAGTGAGTAAGTTGAGTCTTTGAGTTTTTTTATGTTGTTATACACCAGGCCAGATTGATTTAGGTAAAAACAACACTCTTTATTTAAAAATATATAGAATCCTCTTTTTTTTTTTAGCAGTGAATAAGTAGAGGCCTCGGTGATTTTGGAGGAAAGAGAAATGCAAAGCCAGCAATTGTTTGTTAAAGGATTAGAAATGGCTAGGAGAGAGTGAGTGAGATTGATAGTGTGGTGGAGATAGCTGGGGAGAGGTAGAGGGTGGCATAAGAATGGGAACGAGAATAAGAGAGAGTATAAAAGTAAAGAATAGGACTTCATCAGGGTGAAAGTATTGGAGTGTACTCTGTCAGCAAAGATTATCCACTTTAAAAGAGACTTAAGTGTGGCAGTTTTAGGTAAAATCAGGAGATGTCAGTTATGATGGTTTGAGGGAAAAGTGTAAACCGGCAGTGTAAACAAGGACAGGGCATCTATGAGTAGTTGAGAATGGTGAATAGGAGTATGACTAAACAGAAGATAGAAGGGATGACAAGTTTTTGGGGTGCCGTCCAAGTTGGGCTGGTGTCTGGAATGAGACTGGGGCCTAATAAAAAAGGAGCACCCATACAGGTGTTCAAATGGGCTGTACCCTGTAGCATCCTGAGGGATCTAATTCTGAGAAGGGCAAGAGGTAAAAGTACTGTCCCGTCCTTTTTAAGTTGGAGGCTGAGCTTGGTGAGGTGTGTCTTTAAAAGACCATTAGTCCGTTCTACCTTTCCTGAAGACTGAGGATGGTAAAGGGTATGAAGTTTCCACTGAATACCAAGAGTCTGAGAAACTGTTTGGGTGGTTTGACTAGTAAAGGCCGGTCCGTTATTGGACTGTATAGAGGTGGGAAGGCCAAACCAAGGAATTATGTCTAACGGAAGGGAAGAAATGACCTTGGTGGCCTTCTCAGACCCTGTTGGGAAAGGCCTCTACCCATCCAGTGAAAGTGTCTACACAGACCAAGAGGTATTTTAGTTTCCTGACTCAGGGCATGTGAGTAAAGTCAATTTGCCAGTCCTGGGCAAGGGCAAATTCCCGAACTTGATGTGTAGGGAAGGGAGGGAGCCTGAGAAATTCCTGAGGAGTAGTAGAATAGCAGACGGAACACTGAGAAGTGATTTTTTGAGGATAAATTTTTACAATGGAAAGGAAAAGAGAGGTTTTAAGAGGTGGGCTAGCAGCTTGTAACTTACATGGTTATGAAATGACGACAGAATAGAATGGGCCTGTCAGGCTGGAAGGAGATATTTTCCTTGGTCCAAGAACTATTTGCCTTGTGTGGGAAGTGATTGATAGGTGGAAGTTTCAGTGGGGAAGTAGGTGGGAGTGACTGATGAGAAGGAGAGAAATTGGCTGTGAGAGACAGAAGATGGAACGCTAGCTGCTTTTTAAGCTACCTTATCAGCATAAGTATTGACCTGAGCGATGGGATCTGATGCCTTTTGATGGCCCTTGCAATGAATGACTCCAGCTCCCATTGGAAGTAAAGTGGCCTTGAGAAGAGTTTTTATTAAAGTGGCATTAATGATGGAGGACCCTTGCGTAGCGAGGAAACGTATTTCAGCCCATATAACCGCATGGTGGTGCAGGATATGGAAGGCATATTTAGAGTCAGTATAAATATTGACATGTAGTACCTTTGCAAGAGTGAGGGCTTGAGTTAAGGCAATGAGTTTGGCTTGCTGGGAGGTAGTGGATGGGGGCAGAAAGTATATGTGTCAGGTGTGAGAGAGAAAATATATTTTGGAAGTTATGAGAACTGTAGAGAGTGAGTTGAGCATTGTTTATGATTTTCAGGGCCTCTAAAAGTATTAGAGCAGTGGCAGCTGCCTCATGCAGATGTGAGGGCTAGGCTAAACAGTAAGGTCAAGTTGTTTGGACAGAAATGCTACAGGGTGCAGTCCCAGCTCTTGTGTAAGAATTCTGACCTCACAGCCCTGTACTTTGGCTGGGTGTAATGAAAAGGCTTGGGATGAGTTAGGGAGAGTTAGTGTGGGAGCAGCTTCTAGGGCTGTTTTTAAGGAATGGAAAGGAGTGGCAAAAGGATTTAGGATTTATAGGGTCAACTAGGTTTGCTTTTGTGAGTTTATATAATGGTTTAGTCAGGATGGTAAAACTAGGTATCCAAAGGCGGAAGTATGTAATCATGCCTAAGAAGGAAAGGAGTTGTTGTTTTGTAGAAGGGGTTGGGGTTTGGGAGATTAGGCAGACATGATTAGACGGGAGAGCAGGTGTGTTTTTATGAAGAATTATTCTGAGATAGGTAATGGATGAGGAAGAAATTTGGGCTTGACTGAAGTAATGGGGGCTATCTGTGAAGCCTTGCAGCAGTACAGCCCAGGTAATTTGCTGAGCCTGACGGGTGTCAGGGTCAGTCCATGTGAAAGGGAAGAGAGGCTGGGATGAAGAGTGGAAAGAAATAGTAAAGAAAGCATGTTTGATATCCAGAACAGAATAATGGTTTGTGGAGGGAGGTATCTCAATATTTCTATTTTTCCATACTACAAGATCTAGATTATTTTTGTCATAAAATGGGCAAACGGTCTGAGATGCCTGACGTCCAGACATTCCTTTACATATTGATCCCTCCCTAGTCTCTGTTCCCAATGCAACTCATCCCAAATCTTCCTTCTTTCCCTCCCGCCTGTCCCCTAAGTCCCAATCCCAAGCATTGCTGAGTCTTTCCAATCTTCATTTTCTACCAGCCCATCTGACCTCTCCCCTCCTCCCCAGACTGCCCCAGGTCACTCCCCTCCAGGCTGAATCAGGCTCCAAATCTTCCTCAGCCTTCTCTCCCCCACCCTTCTATCACCTCCTCTCCCCACACCCCATTCGGCTTACAGTTTCATTCCGAGACTAGCCCTCTCCCACCTGCCCAACAGTTCCTCTTAAGGAAGTGACTGGAGCTAAAAGCATAGTCAAGGTTAATGCTCAGTAAGAGAGTATATGAGTTTGGCACCACAGGGTGGATAGGCAAAACAATTTGGTTGGATAAGGTGCAGATCCTGAACTAATTTGTAAGACTTGTGTGGTTTTTGGACAGGTAAAATGGGGGAGTTGTGAGGAGAGTTTATAGGCTTTAACAGGCCATGCTGTAACAGGAGAGTGATAACAGGCTTTAATCCTTTTAAAGCGTGCTGTGGGATGGGATACTGACGTTGAGCGAGGTAAGGGTGATTAGGTTTTAATGGGATGGTAAGGGGTGCATGATCAGTCACCAAGGAGGGAGGTGGATTAAAGTAGGGAGATACAAGGGGAGGATGCGAAGGAGGCTTTGAACTGGGGAAAAGGTCGGCAATGAGGTGTGGCTCTTGCGTAGGAATAGTCAGGGAAGCGGATAATTTAGTTAAAATGTCTTGTCCTACTAAGAGAACTGGGAAGGTGGGGATAACTAAAAAGAAGTGCATAAAAGAATATTGTCCAAGTTGGTGCCAGAGTTGGGGAGTTTTAAGAGGTTTAGAAGCCTGGCCATCAATACCAACAACAGTTATGGAGGCAAGGGAAGCAGGCCCTTGAAAAGAAGGTAATGTGGAGTGGGTAGCCCCCGTATTGATTAAGAAGGGGACGGACTTACCTTCCACTGTAAGAGTTACCCAAAGTGTCTGTGATGGTCCAGGAGGCTTCCAAGGCAATCAGGCAGCATCAGTCTTTAGCCGCTAAGCTGAGAAGATCTGGGAAGGAGTCAGTCAGAGCCTTGGGCCAGTTGGATAGTCTGATTTCCAGTGGGGTCCCACATAGATGGGACATGGCTTAGGAGGAATCCTGGGCTGCAGGCATTCCTTGGCCTAGTGGCCAGATTTCTGATACTTGAAAGAAGATGCTGGGGGAGGAGGACCTGAAGGAATGCCTGACCACTCTGGCTTAGGCGTTTTGAAGTTCTTGTGTGCTGGAGATATGGCTGGGATTTCTCTCGCAGCAGAGGCAAGTAATTGCAACTCTTCTTTATTATTGTGCACCTTGAAGGTGAGGTTAATTAAGTCCTGTTGTGGGGTTTCAGGGCCAGAATCCAATTTTTGGAGATTTATTTAATGTCGGGAGCAGATTGGGTAATAAAATGCATATTGAGACTAAGACGGCCTTCTAACCTTTCAGGGTCTAGGGCTGTAAAGCATCTCAGGGTTGCTGCCAAACAAGCCATGAACTGGGCTGGGTTTTTATATTTGATGAAAAAGAGCCTAAATGCTAACTGATTTGGGAGAGGTCGGATAAAGAAAAAGGAGCATTAACCTTGACTATGCTTTTAGCTCCAGTCACTTCCTTAAGAGGAACCGTTGGGCAGGTGGGAGAAGGCTAGTCTCGGAATGAAACTGTAAGCCGAATGGGGTGTGGGGAGAGGAGGTGATAGAAGGGTGGGGGAGAGAAGGCTGAGGAAGATTTGGAGCCTGATTCAGCCTGGAGGGGAGTGACCTGGGGCAGTCTGGGGAGGAGGGGAGAGGTCAGATGGGCTGGTAGAAAATGAAGATTGGAAAGACTCAGCAATGCTTGGGATTGGGACTTAGGGGACAGGCGGGAGGGAAAGAAGGAAGATTTGGGATGAGTTGCATTGGGAACAGAGACTAGGGAGGGATCAATATGTAAAGGAATGTCTGGACGTCAGGCATCTCAGACCGTTTGCCCATTTTATGACAAAAATAATCTAGATCTTGTAGTATGGAAAAATAGAAAGTGCCATTTTCTGGCTATTTGGAACCATTGTCAAGTTTGTACTGGGGTCAAGTGGCATTGCAGAAGAAAATAAGGCATTTAGGTTTTAGGTCAGGTTTGAGTTGAAGAGGTTTTAAGTTTTTGAGAGCACAGACTAAGGGAGAAGAAGGAGGAATGGAGGGTGGAAGGTTGCCCATAGTGAAGGAGGCAAGCCCAGAGAAAAGAGAGGGTAGAGACACAGAGAGAAGGGGTGTGGGGGGGGGGGTGCTTGCCCCCCGGGAAAGTGGTGCTTGCCACTAAGGGTGAAGGATCAAGGCAGGCATACCCACGGTGATCAGACACCTCTGAAACGTGGGTGAATAATCAAGCAGGTGTCCCCGCAGTGATTAAACGCCAAGGGAAGACTGTCTTCCTGAGTCTGTGATTGGAACCGGAATTTTGGTTTCACGGATAAAACGCATCTCCTCTGTCTCTACCAGAAAAGGAAAGGAATTGAAATTAAGAGAAGTGAGAGATTGAAGGATGGCGCCATGATTGAAAGTAGAAAGAGGTTGAGGGATAGTGACAGAGGTTGGATAAGAGAGTAAAAAGAGGCCGCTTACTTGATTTAAAATTGGTGAGATGTTCCTTGGGCTGGTTGGTCTGAGGACTGGAGGTCGTAGGTGGATCTTTCTCATGGACCAAAGAGCAAGAGGACAGGGAATTGATCTCCCAAGGGAGGTCTCCTGATCTGAGTCACGGCACCAAATGTCACGTGCGTCCAGGTGAAGAGCCCACCAAACAGGCTTTGTGTGAGCAATAAAGCTGTTTATTTCCCCTGGGTGCAGGCAAGCTGAGTCTGAAAAGAGAGTCTGAAAAGAGTGTCAGCAAAGCGAGATAGGGGTAGGGCCGTTTTATAGGATTTGGGTGGATAGTGGAAAATTATAGTCAAATGGGATTTTTCTCTTGCAGGCAGGGGTAGGGGTCACAAGGTGCTCAGTGGGGGAGCTTCTGAGCCAGGAGAAGGAATTTCACAAGGTTAATCACTCAATTAAGGTGGGGCAGGAACAAATCACAATGGTGGAATGTTATCAGTTAAGGCATGAACCGGCCATTTTCACTTCTTTTGTGATTCTTCATTTGCTTCAGGCCATCTGGATGTATATGTGCATGTGGCAAGGGATATGATGGCTTAGCTTGGGCTCAGAGGCCTGACAAAAAGAAGCTTTCATCAGAGTGAAGAGATAACCTATAAAATGGGAGAATATTTTTACAACCTATCCATCAGACAAAAGTCTAATATCCAGAAACTAAAAGAAAGTTAAACAAATTTACAAGAAAAAAAATTAAAAAGTGGGCAAAAAACATAAACAGACACTTCTTAAAAGAAGACATTTATGTGGCCAAGCAACATGAAAAAAAGCGCAATATCACTAATCATTAGAAAAATGCAAATCAAAACCACAAAAATATCATCTCTCGCCATTTAGAATGGTGATTACTAAAAAGTCAAAAAACAACAGATGCAGGTGAGGCTGTGGAGAAACAGGAGTGCTTTTACACTATTCGTGGGAGTGTAAATTAGTTCAATCATTGTGGAAGACAGCATGATGATTCCTCAAAGACCTAGAACTAGAAATACCACTTGACCCAGCAATCCCATTACTGGGTATATGCTCAAAGGAATATAAATCATTCTTTTCTAAAGATACATGCATGTGTATGTTCTTTCCAGCACTATTCACAACAGCAAAAACATGGAATCAACCCAAATGCCCATCAAAGACAAACGGGATAAAGAAAATAGAGTACACATACACCTTGGAATACTATGTAACTGTAAAAAGGAATGAGAACATGTCCTTTGCAGGGACGTGGATGAAGCTAGAAACCATTATTCTCAGGAAACTAACACAGGAGCAGAAAACCAAACACCACATGCTCTCACTTATAAGTGGGTGCTGAACAAAGAGAACAAGTGGACACAGGGAGGGAATAACACACACTGGGGCCTGTCAGAGGAAGGTGGAGGGAGGGAGAGCATCAGAATAAATAGCTAATGTATGCTGGTCTTAATACTTAGGTGATGGGTTGATAGGTGCAGCAAATCTCCATGGCACATGTTTGCCTATGTAATAAACCTGCACATCCCTCCCATGTATCTTGGAACTTAAAATTAAATTAAATTAAATTAAAAGAAAAGTTTAAAATGTTTTTAAGTGAATGTGTATAAGTTACATGTACTAGTCATTTTCTAAGATCAAAAGATATTTTTGGTATTTTTCTCAGATAGTAGAAAGTGAATAAGTGTGATGAACATGTTAAAAATCCCTGTAAAATTCTAGTTGTTCCTAATTCTTGGTTTCAAGAAATTTGAAAGAAGAGCTATAAAGTTGTCAGCTAACAGAACATAAAAATAATTTTATTGACAATTTTTTATGACTTATGTTTATAATATAAACAAAGTTTGAAGGATTGAGTAATTTGAACAAGGACTCCGTAATAGTGTTTCTACATAAAAAGAAACAACATGAGATATTATGATATGTCATGATATGACATATTGTAATGTCATAATACAAATCCCATATATATATGAGAGAGAGAGACAGAGAGATTGATTTACAGAATTGGCTCATATGATTACAGAAGCTGGCAAATCCAAAATTTGCAGTTCAAGTCCAGAGGTCATCAGGCTGGAGGTCCAGGAAACAACCAGTGTTGCAGCTCAAGTCTGAAGCCTCTCTGCTGACAGGCTTCTTCTTGCTCAGAGTAGGTAGGTCATTTTGTTCTATTCAGTCTGTCAACTGATTACATAAGGCCCACCCACATTATGGAGGGCAATCTGCTTTATTTAGGTCCATCAATTTAAATGTCCATGACATCCAAACACACCCTCACAGAAATATCCAGAATAATGCTTGATCACATATCTGTGCACCATGACTCAGCAACATTAACACAAAATTAACCATTATCACAGACTCTCAGTGCTTGCAGACTAGATTTTATTCTGAATCCTGTCTCATTTTAAAAATAAGAAGTGTTCAATCACACAACTACCTCTGCCATTAAGAGAAAAATGCATGCATTTTCAGTAAAATTTTACTTTTTATGTTTAGTACTTATCAAGTGTATAAACACACACAAATATATACATACATTATTTAATTATTGACTAATGCAAAGTAAAATAACTATTCAATTCAAAGTATAAGATTTTTTTTCCCACAGGACATAAAATGACTTTAATTTTAATAAAAGATAATCAATAAAATAGGCTGCTGGTGGCTTGGTTTAGACTACTTTTCAGAGTGAAAAGCTTTTGAATCCCACAACTTCAGGGACCATATTCTATTGCAGGTTTTGCTTCTAGGTACCTTACCACATTCTCACAGTCAAGAATCAATAAACATTGCCATGTGCCTGGCAGAGAAAAGGGAATAGTAGTCATATAAAAATATGGAGAGTTTATTCTCTCTAACAAAAGCCAACTGCCCAGGGAAAAAGACTTTAACAAAGTTTACCTCACATAGGCAGAAGAGCGATTATCCAACTGCAGATCTTGAAGCTTTTCTGTCTCACCTAAGTGGTAGTGTTGTGGGGGCAGTTGGGTAAGGCACATGTGAATGTTACAGCCTAGGGATGCAGGCAAACTAAAAAACAGATTTCTGAGGCTTAATTATATGATAGATCTTTAGTTTAATTAAGCAATAGTTTGGCTTTTTTAATTGTACAGATTATGCATATGTTATGGTGAATATATTCCTAACTGTGACATGACTTAGGATCCTATTTTCCATGTTATTTTAATTTTTCATTTTCAAATAGTTTGCTGATAGCTTATAGAAATGCAGTGGGTTTTTGCACTACTTTGTATCCTAAGACGAGTCTAAATTTATTTATTAATTTGTCGATAAAAAGAGTCAAACTCTGTAAAATATTTGAAGAGATTTATTCTGAGCCAAATATGAGCGACCATGGCCCATGACACAGCTCTCAGGAGGTCCTGAGAACATGTGCTCATGCTGGTCAGGGTACTGCTTGGTTATGTACACTTTAGGGAGGCATGAGACTTCAATCAAATACATTTAAGAAATACATTGGTTTGACCCAGAAAGACAGAACAACTTGAAGGGGGCGGAGCTTACAGCTTATTATTTAGATTTAAAAATTTTCTGGTTGACAATTGGTTGAGTTTATCCAAAGACCTGGAATCAATAGAAAGGAATGTCTGGGTTGTGATAAGAGTTTGTGGAGACCAAAGTTTTATCATGCAGATGAAGACTCCAGGTAGCATGCTTTAGAGAGAATAGGTTGTAAAATGTTTCTTATCAGAATTAAAGTCTGTGTTGATGTTAACGCCAGAGAAGTAAAATGAAGCATGTCCAAGTCATGGCCTGAACCAGTCTTACAGATTAAATTTTAAAAGACCCCTGGCTGAGGACTAAGTCCATTCAGATGTTTGAGGGTCATAGAATTTTATTCTTTTGTTTACAAATTCTAGTCATTATTTTTGTAGCTTTCTTATGGCTTTCCATGAAAATTACCGGGTGGTCTATGAATAGTAAGTTTAACTTCATGTATTACAAAATTATTTAAATATACTTTTCTTGACTTATTTCACTGTTTAGAATCACTAATCTAATGTTGAATAGAAGTGATGAGGATAAATACCCTTTCTCTTTTCACCAACTATGGAGAAAAAATATTTAGTCTTTCACACCAAATGTAATATTGCTACAGGATTTTTTGTAGATCCCCTTTATCAGGTTGAGCCCATTTCTTTATACTTCCAGGTTGCAAATGAAAGAGTTCATATTATTATTGGATGTGGGATTTTTATCAATAATTATTTTGTAGCTAAAAAAACATATATATATATGGTTATTCTACTTTATTTTGTTAGTACCATGGCTTGTATTGATTAATTTTTGAAGGCTAAGCCAGCCTTGCTTTATTTATAATGTACTATTGTAACCGCCCTATAGATTCACCTTGCCAGCTGCCTAGACAGAACCGATTTATCAAGACAGGGGAATTGCAATGGAGAAAGAGTAATTCGCACAGAGCCAGTTGTGCGGTAAACCAGAGTTTTATTATTACTCAAATAGGCCTCCACGAGCATTCAGGGATCAGAGTTTTTAAAGATAATTTGGCGGGTAGGGGCTTGGGAAGTGGGGAGTACTGATTAGTCAGGTTGGAAATGGAATTATAGGGGGTTGAAGTTAGGTTTTCTTAATGTCTTCTGTTCCTGGGTGTGATGGCAGAACTGGTTGGGCCAGATTACTGGTCTGGGTCGTATCAGCTGATCCATGGAGTGCAGGGTCTGCAAAATATTTCAAGCTCTGTTCTTAGGTTTTACAATAATGATGTTATCCCCAGGAGCAATTTGGGGAGGTTCAGACTCTTGCAGCCAGAGGCTGCATTTCCCATAAATTGTAATTTCCAATCTTGTAGCTAATTTGTTAGTCCTGCAAAGAAGGGGGTCTTTTCGGGTAAAGGGCTATTATCAATTTTGTGTCAGAGTCAAAATATGAACTAAATTCATTCCCAACATTAGTTCAGCCTATGCTCAGGAATGAACAAGGGCAGCTTGAGGATTAGAAGCAAGATAGAGTCGGTTAGGTCTGATTTCTTTCACTGTCATAATTTCCTCAGCTATAATTTTGCAAAGGCCGTTTCACCATTATCTTACATATTAATAATTTAATTTGCTAATATTTTTAAAGACTTTTAAAATTTACACTTATGGAAGATATTGGGCTCTATAATAGTTTTCTCTTTGTATGTGTTTTTATGATTTTGGTATGGGGTAATGCTGGCCTCATAAAATGAGTTTGTGATGGGGTTCAGGATATGCTACCACAAAATATAACACCTTGGCATTTGCAAAAACAGCAGAAGCAGAAAGGTCTCTCTGACCTTCTCCCACTGTTCTCCCTCCCCTAAAACAGGCCATAAAATAATTATCTGCCTTTCCTCTAAAGTAGGACTTAAGACCATCCTTTCAGAGTGATGCTCCCTATACTTATAGAGGAAAGGACAGGAAGGCACAAAGGCAGGGAAGAATCTGAACAGACAGGCCTTGCCATGTTCCCATGCCCACTCCCTAGTTTATTACCATTAAATTATACCTGTTTTTTCTAATCATACTTCTACATACACACTCTTCATCAAACCTAAGCATAAAAATATATACTTTCCCCTGTTTCTTTGGGTCTTTATCTTTGAAGGCTCCCATGACATTTAAAATTTATATTAAATTGTTTTAGGTCTAAAGTTTAAATCTTTAATCCATCTTGAATTGATTTTTGTATAAGGTGTAAGGAAGGGATCCAGTTTCAGCTTCCTACATATGGCTAGCCAGTTTTCCCAGCACCATTTATTAAATAGGGAATTCTTTCCCCATTGCTTGTTTTTCTCAGGTTTGTCAAAGATCAGTTAGTTGTAGATATGCGTGTTATTTCTGAGGGCTCTGTTCTGTTCCATTGATCTATATCTCTATTTTGGTACCAGTACCATGCTGTTTTGGTTACTGTAGCCTTGTAGTATAGTTTGAAGTCAGGTAGTGTGATTCCTCCAAAACCCTAGAAGAAAACCTAGGCATTACCATTCAGGACATAGGCATGGGCAAGGACTTCATGTCCAAAACACCAAAAGCAATGGCAACAAAAGACAAAATTGACAAATGGGATCTAATTAAACTAAAGAGCTTCTGCACAGCAAAAGAAACTACCATGAGAGTGAACAGGCAACCTACAAAATGGGAGAAAATTTTTGCAACCTACTCATCTGACAAAGGGCTAATATCCAGAATCTGCCATGAACTCAAACAAATTTACAAGAAAAAAACAAACAACCCCATCAAAAAGTGGGCGAAGGACATGAACAGACACTTCTCAAAAGAAGACATTTATGCAGCCAAAAAACACATGAAAAAATGCTCATCATCACTGGCCATCAGAGAAATGCAAATCAAAACCACTGTGAGATACCATCTCACACCAGTTAGAATGGCAATCATTAAAAAATCAGGAAACAATAGGTGCTGGAGAGGATGTGGAGAAATAGGAACACTTTTACACTGTTGGTGGGACTGTAAACTAGTTCAACCATTGTGGAAGTCAGTGTGGCGATTCCTCAGGGATCTAGAACTAGAAATACCATTTGACCCAGACCTCCCATTACTGGGTATATACCCAAATGACTATAAATCATGCTGCTATAAAGACACATGCACACGTATGTTTATTGCGGCACTGTTCACAATAGCAAAGACTTGGAACCAACCCAAATGTCCAACAATGATAGACTGGATTAAGAAAATATGGCACATATACACCATGGAATACTATGCAGCCATCAAAAATGATGAGTTCATGTCCTTTGTAGGGACATGGATGAAATTGGAAATCATCATTCTCAGTAAACTATCGCAAGAACAAAAAACCAAACACCACATATTCTCACTCATAGGTGGGAATTGAACAATGAGATCACATGGACACAGGAAGGGGAATATCACCCTCTGTGGACTGTGGTGGGGTGGGGGGAGGGGGGAGGGATAGCATTGGGAGATATACCTAATGCTAGATGACGAGTTAGTGGGTGCAGCGCACCAGCATGGCACATGTATACATATGTAACTAACCTGCACAATGTGCACATGTACCCTAAAACTTAAAGTATAATAAAAAAAAATTTATATTAAATTAATCTGTATGTGTTTTTCTTGTTAATCTGTCTGTTATGTGTGCGTCTAATTGAAGAGACACCCTGAACAGGCTAAGTGTGAGCAACAAGGTTGTTTATTCACTGGGTGCGGGTGGGCTGAGTCCGAAAAGGAAGTGGTGGGGTTGGAGCTAGTTTTATACTTTAGGGGTAAGCAGTGGAAAGTTATAGTTCGGAGCTGTTTATTGAGGGCAGGGGAAGAATGTCATAAGGTACATTATCATAAGGTTACAGAGCACAGTGTCATGAGGTTGATTGATCAGTTAGGGTACAGCCTGTTACAATGATAGAATGTCACAAGGTTGGCTGATCAGCTAAGACAGGAACTAGCCGTTTTTCTTCTTTTGTGGTTTTCCTGTCGTCCCAGACTTTCTGGCTCCAGGAGACCTTCTGGATGTGTACGTGTGAGTCACAGGGGTCACGATGGCTTGACCATGGCGCCGCCTGCTCAGAGGACCTTACATTCCTGTCTTTTTATGCTAACAAAACAAAACAAGAAAAAGTAGTGAAATGTTGGGGTGGTGAAAATTTTGGGGATGGTATGGAGAGATGATGGGCGATGTTTTTCAGGGCTTCTTCGAGCAGGCTTAGGGACGGCGTGGGAACCTAAGGTGGGAGAGATTAAACAGAAGAAAGATCTTGGGGTAAGGGGGATACTGTGCAGTTGCTAGAAGGGGCATTTGTCGTACTGACTGATTAGTAATAGCTTGGATGCGATTTTGTATGAACTGAGAGATGAGTCTAAAAAGACAAAGTCCCAATAAGATGAGGAGAAGGATGAGTGCAAAGGGGCCTGTCAGTGGAAGGAACCATGAATCTAAGCTAGAGAATGGCCAGGTAGTGCCAGTATAACTATTTGCCTGATTAGTGAGCTTTTGGGCTCTGTCTTTAAGTTTTTTAATGTTGTCATATACAAGGCCTGATTGATTTAAGTAAAAGCAGCACTCTTCATTTAAGAATAGGCAGAGTCCTCCTTTGTCAGCAGTAAGCAGATCGAGGCCTTGGCGATTTTGGAGGACAGCTGCGGCTAAGGAATCGACCTGGGTTTGGAGGACAGAAAGTGTTTGAGTTATATCAGTAAGGCTAGTGGAGAAGTCACTGAAAAGACTGCAAAACGTGTTGATGGAAGTTATAAGACCTGCTATTCCTGTTCCACTGGCAGTGGCTGAAACTCCTAATCCTACAAGCAAGGGAGTTAATGGGATGACTTTTTTTTTTTTTTTTTTTTTGTCATGTTGGAGTTATGAGGGGAATGGGGAGTTGTTTGTTTCCATTTGTAAACTCGATCTTGGGAGTAAGGAAGATTAAAGTGAAGGTGCCTGTCCAATTGGCAGGGAGGCACATGTATGCGGAAAAACCAACAGAAACAAAAAGAGTCCATGAGGCAGGCATAACTGGAAGTGGAGAGTAAAAAAAATGAGAGTGTGTTCTGGAAGCAGAGTCCTGCACCCAGAGCCCTAGGGATCCAGCAAGGGCAGCGGCTATTAGAGGTTGTAGTGGGGTTTGGTAGGATAACTGTGTAGAGGGAGAGGTTCTGTTTTAATGGTGTGAAAAAAAGAATTTGGTATCTGTAAGTAGCCATTCACTGTTATTTATAAGACTAGGTATAAACAGGCAGGCAGAAGGCCTTGGAGGGGAATCCATTGAACAGGGGAAGGATAGCCAAGGATGGAGTGAGAGCCAGGGTAAATGTCTTCCTAGGCAAAAGTTGCTACTGATGTTTTTAAGAGTGTTAGTGATGAGGGAGGGCTTTTCTGTAATACGAAGCTGGAATGCTCCAATATTTTGGTTAATGTGGGTGGCAGGGCCTTGGAGGTAAAGAGTAAAGGAACATAAGGAAGATGGGAGGTAACCCAAGGGAATTCCAGCAGGTAATTGTAGGGAGATGCATAAGGGGGCAGCAATGGGGATAGTTGTTTGTATAGTGAGGGGTCCAAGAACAGGAGGTGTGGAAGTGACGTAGGGAGATAGATTTCGTAGGTAGGTATGGAGGAGAGCAGCAGCTTGTTGGTATGAGGTATCAGGGGAGTTTTTGCTGAATTTTTCTAGGAAGTAAAGAAGTTGTTCAGGAGGGTAAAGTTGGGGGTCACTGAAAGAGGTTTGGAGGTATAGGGAGATGGGGGAAGTTGCCCAGTGGGCTGGCAGGGCAGGGACACCTGTATAGTAGGAGGAAGAGAGGGAAATGCATAGGAAGGATTGGAGATGGTGAAGAGGGAGTGGGTGAGGTTGATGGTATTCTGGAGATAATTAGGGAGGGATAGAGGGTGGCAGGAGAACGGGAGTAAGACAAAGAGTAAGTATAAAAGAAAAGAACTTCATCAGGATGGAAGAATTGGAGAGTACTTTGCCACAGAAGGTCATCTATCCACTCTAAGAGAGAGTTAAGGGTAGCAGCTGGAGGGTGACTCCATGAGGTATCAGCTACAATGGTCTGGAGGAAAAGCGTGAACTGGCAGTATAGACAAAAGCAGGGCATTTAGAAGTAGGTGAGAATGGTGATTAGGGGCATAAGTAGACAGAGTTTAAATAGTGGGGTGACTGTGTAAAGGTCTACTGTAAATAAAAGGTATACAGGTTTATTGTTCTTTTTCAGGAATGCGGGTAAGTTTAAGGGAAGTAGGAGAGAGTACTTGTGACTTCCAGGAGGAGGTGGAGGAGCTAGGCTGGTCGTCAGATGGGCATAGTTTTATCCTGGAGCGATGAATCCAGTGGGGAGGATTCTGTAGACTGACCACTGTTGGGGTACTATAGATGACCAGGTAGGATCCTGTCCACAGAGGTTGTAGAGTTTGAGGGGTTAGGTTCTTAACGAGAACTGACAGTCCAGCTAGGGTGTCTTCATATCACTGGGTCTCTGGAGTAGGTAACAGGAAATTGGCAGCTTGGCAGATTTTATGTCTAGCCTGTTGAAGGACAAGAAGATAATCACCAAGAGGGCTGGTGTTTGGAATAAGGTTGGGCCCAAGCAGAAAGGTGCGACCATATAAGAGTTTAAATGGACTGTACCTGGTGGGTTCCTGGGGTGTGGCTCGAATTAGGAGGAGTGCAAGGGGTAGAAGAGTGGTCCAGTCTTTCTGAAGCTGGAGGGTAAGTTTAGCGAGGTGTGTTTTTAAAAGGCCGTTGGCTTTCTCTACTTTTCCAGAGGACTGAGGGTGATAGGGGGCATAAAGATTCCATTGGATACCAACGGCTGGTTAATGAAGGCCGGCCTGTTATCAGACTGTATGGAAGTAGGGAGACAAAACCGGGGGATTATGTCTGTTAGAAGAGACAAAATAATGGCCCTGGCTTTTTTAGACCTCCTGGGAAAAGCCAGAACCCATCTGGTCAAGGTGTTGACCCAAACCAGGAGGTATTTGAGTTTCTGGACATGGGGCATATGAGTAAAGTCAATTTGCAAATCTTGCGCAGGGGTGAACCCTCGTGCTTGATGCATAGGGAAAGGAGGAGGTTTGGGAAAGAGCTGGGGGGTAGTAGAGTGGCATATAGCACATTGAGAGGTGATTGTTTTAAGTATGGATTTCCAGGCTGGAAAAGAAATGAGAGGTTCTAAAAAGCGGATTAAAGGTTTATATTCTACATGGAAGTGGTCGTGAAAGGACGAAAGGACAGAGTAAGCTTGAGACGCAGGGAGAATGAGCTTTCCATGATCTAAAAAACAGTTGTCTTGAGTGGGAAGTGACTGGTAGGTTAAGGTTTTGGAAGGAGAGTAGGTAGGAGTGATAGATGAGAAAGAGAAATATTAGCCACTGGGAGCAGATACCGGGGAGTTTGCTGCGTTTTTGGCTGTTTTATCGGCATAGGTATTTCCTGGGGCAATGGGGTCAGAGGTGTTTTGGTGTCCTTTGCAGCGGATTACTCCAGCTTTGGCTGGAAGGAGGGCAGCTTAAAGGAGGGCTTTTATTAAGTGAGCATTGATAATAGAGGGCCCTTGTGTAGTGAGAAAACCTCTTTCTGCCCAGATGACAGCATGGTGGTGGAGAATATGGAAGGCATATTTGGATTTGGTATAGATACTAACATGCAGTCCTTTGGTAAGAGTTAGGGCAGGAGTTAGTGCTATTAATTTAGCTTGTTGAGAGGCTGCAGATGGGGGGAGTGTGGCAGTTTCAATGATAGATGAGTGAGACACAACAGCATAGCTAGCTTTACCTGGTGATGATCAACTGGTTTTTCAAGAACCGCCGTCAATAAACCAAATGTGGTCTGGGTCAGGGATAGGGAAAAGGGAAATATGGGGAAAAGAAGAGGAGGCTATGTGGATTAAGGAAATAGAGTTGTGGGGATCAGGATTTGTAGTGGGTATTAAGTGAGAGGCCAGGTTGAAGTCCAGTCCAAAGGCAATGGTTACCATGGGATTTTTGATAAAGTGTGAATAGAGTTGGAGGACGCAGGGGGCCGAGAATATGTGTTTTATGCGTGAAGAGGAAACTAAGTCTAGGAGATTGTCAGAGCTATAAAGGGTAAGTGAGGCATAGTCTGTGATTTTGAGAGACTCTAAGAGTATAAGGGCTGTTGCCGCTGTGGCGTGCAAACATGATGGCTAGCCCAGGACTGTACGATCAAGCTGTTTGGATAAATAGGCTAATGGTTGCAGGCCTGGTCCCTGAGTAAGAATATCTATAGCGTAGCCCTGCATGTCTGCTGTGTGAAGGAAGAAGGGTTGAGAGGAGTTGGGGAGCGCTAGAGTGGGGGCTGTCTCTAGGGCCTTTTTTACAGAGTAAAAGGAGGGGCAAGGGAAGGATTTAGGATCTATGGGTTCAGCTAAATTTCCTTCTGTGAGTTTACAGAATGGTTTGGTTAGGATGGCAAAACCTGGTATCCAAAGGCGGAAGTATCCAACAATGCCTAAGAAGGAGGAGTTGTTTGGTGGTGGGGATTGGAGTTTGGGAGATTAGCTGAATATGGTCTGCCGGAAGTAAACGCATATGTTGATGGAGGATTATACCGAGATAGGTAACACTTGGGGAAGAAATTTGAGCTTTGGAGGGGGATATTCTGTACCCCTTTGAGTAGAGATGTTGAAGAAGCAGGATAATATCTTGCTGGGAAGATTGGTAAAAGGGGCTGCAAAGAAGGTCATCCACATATTGAATGAGATGGGAAGCAGATGGATGAAAAGAAAGCAGGTCATGGGAGAGGGCCTGGCTAAAGTAGTGTGGGCTATTTCTGAAACCCTGTGGTAGAAGGGTCCAGGTGGGTTGTTGGGACTGGTGGGTGTCAGAGTCAGTGCAAGTAAAAGTGAAAAGAGGCTGGGAAGAGGGATGTAAGGGGATGGTAAAGAAGGCATCTTTGAGGTCAATAACAGAATAGTGAATTGTAGAAGGGGGTATTGAGGATAGGAGAGTATAAAGGTTTGGCACAACAGGATGGATGGAGAGGACAATCTGATTAATGAGATGACGGTCTTGGACTAGCCTGTACGACTTACCTGGTTTTTGAACAGGTAGGATGGGAGAGTTGTAAGGGAAGTTGGTAGGAACTAAGAGGCCACGCTGTACTAGATGTGTAATAACAGGCTTTAGGCCCCTTAAAGCCTGTTGTGGGATGGGGTACCGGTGTTGAGCAGGATAGGGGTGGTTATTTGTTAATGGGATGATAAGGGGTGAATGGTCAGTTGCAAGGGAAGGAGCGGAGGTATCCCATACTTCAGGGTTGAAGTGGGGAGATGAAAGGGGAGGTTGGAGGGAGGGTTGGAATTGAATAAAAGGGTAGCTGTGAGATGTGGCTGTAGTCCAGGAATAGTCAGGGAGGCAGAAAATTTAGTTAAAATATCTCCGCATAATAAGGGGACTGGGCAGGTGGGGATAACTAGGAAAGAGTGCAAAAAGGAGTGTTGCCTGATGTGACACTAGAGTTGGGGAATTTTAAGGCGTTTAGAAGCTTGGCTGTCAGTACCCACAACAGTTGTGCGGGCAAGGGAAACAGGCCCTTGAAAAGAAGGTAACGTAGAGTGGGTATTCCCCGTATTGATTAAGAATGGGACGGACTTACCCTCCACCCTAAGAGTTACCCGAAGCTCGGCATCCGCGATTGTCTAAGGGGCCTCCGAGACGTTCGGGCAGCGTCAGTCTTCAGCCGCCAAGCCGAGGAGATCTGGGAAGGAGTCGGTGGGGAGCTTTGGGTTTGAGCTCCAGGAGCTCCGGAAGTGGCGATGAGAGTCGGGCAGTCAGACTTCCAGTGAGGGCCCGCACAGGCGGGGCATGGCTTAGGAGGAATCCCAGGCTGCAGGCATTCCTTGGCCCAGTGGCCAGGTTTTCATCGCTTGAAGCAAAGTCCCAGAGGGGCTGTTGGATGTTGCGTTTAGATGCCTTGAAGTTCTTGCAGGTAGGCAGTGCAGCTGGGGTTTGTCTTATGGCGGAGGCAAGCATCTGTAGTTCTGAAATGCGCTGTCGCCGGGCAGTCTCTTCCCTATTATTGAACACCTTGAAGGCGAGGTTGATTAATTCCTGTTGTGGGATCTGAGAGCCAGACTCTAATTTTTGAAGTTTCTTTCTACTGTCAGAAACTGACTGGGTAATAAAATGCATGTTAAGAATAAGGCGGCCTTCTATCCCTTCAGGGTCTAGTGCTGTATATCGCCTGAGGGTGGCAGGTAGACAGGCCATAAACTGAGCTGGATTTTTATCTTTGTTCTGAGTGGTTTTTTTTGTTTTTGTTTTTGTTTTTTAGTTTGTCATAATTGACGGCTTTATATGCAGCCTTCTGAAGCCCTTTAACTAGGCAAGAGATCATGTAGTCCCGCCTGGCTATGCCTGGGTCCCAGGGCCTGGTAAGTCCATCCGGGGTCTTCACAGGGTACTGCCCTAGCACCTTACTGGAGGCCAGGCTTACGGCACCGGCGGTTATCAGCCTAAGATTGAGCTAGGATCCAAACCCACTCTCACTCCTCAGGAGCGAGGGTAGAGGTAAGGATGACATTTAAGTCATTCCAAGTAAGATTATAGGACTGGGTTAAGTATTGGAATTCTCGTATATATTTGGTGGGGTCAGATGGGAAAGAGCCTAGATGTTCACTAATTTGGGAAAGGTCGAACAGGGAGAAAGGGACCTGAACCCGAACTATTCCTTTGGTTCCTGCCACCTCTCCGAGGGGAAATTGCTAGGCAGGGGCCTGGGGGTTGGTCGCAGGCCCAAACTGTAAGCCATAGAGGATGTGAGGAAGGGTGGTAATGGGAGGGGCATAAGAGGGTGGATTGTGGGTAGAAATAGGTTCTGGGGGAGAATTAGAAGCAGGTTCGGATAGGTGGTGGGGGAGAAAGATCGGAGGGGTCAACAGACAAAGAGGAGTCAGCATCGCCAGTGGAAGAAGGAGGGGTAGACAGAAGGGAAATAAGGAAAATTGGGGATGGATTACATTGGAAGCATAGGCTAGGGAGAGATCGTATGTAAAAAATGCCTGGAAGTAGGGTACCTCAGACCCATTTGCCCATTTTTCCATAGAAGTTGTCTAAGTCCCACAAAATAGAGAAATTGGAAGTGCTGTTTTCTGGCCACTGAGCGCCATTTTCTAATTTATACTGGGGCCAGGACGTGTTACAGAAAAAAATTAGACGTTTAGCCTTTAGATTGGGTGCAAGGTGAAGAGGTTTGAGGTTTCTGAGGACACAAGCCAGACAGAAGAAAGAGGGATGGAAGGCGGGAAATTGCCCATGATAGAACAAGGAAAGACTGGGGGGAAAGAAAGAGACAAGGAAAAGAGCAACCACTAGGATCCTCAGTGGGCGTCCCCATTGGAGGTCCTGGGTTGTGTGGCTGGCAAATGGCCAAGGCGGGCGTCCCGGGCATTGACCGAACACTGAAGGAAGGCTGTCTCCCCAAGAAGAGTCCGTGACCGGTGTTGGATTTCTGAAACACGGATAAGAGGAAGGTTCTTTGTCTCAATTTTGAAAAGAGAAAAAGAGAGGGAGAGATGAGGAGAGACCGAGGCAGCTTACCATATCCATAGACAGAGGCCGGAGTGCTCGCGGAGCTGGTCTGAGGTCCTGAGGGCGAGGGAAGTCTCTTGCATGGGAGAACGTGGGTACCGGGAGGATAGAGGAGAGGTCTGCCGGAGGAGTTCCCCTATCCCGGGCTTTCGGCACCAAATGTTATGCGAGCATCTAATTGAAGAGACAACTTGAACAGGCTAAGTGTGAGCAACAAAGGCTGTTTATTCACCCGGGTGCGAGTGGGCTGAGTGCGAAGGAAGTCAGTGGAGGGTGGTGGGTTGGAGCTAGTTTTATCAGTTAGAGGTAAGCACCGGAAAGTTACAGTTAGGAGCCGTTTATTGCGGGCAGGGGAAGAATGTCATAAGGTACATTATCACAAGGTTACAGAGCACAGTGTCACGAGGTTGATTGATCAGTTAGGGTAAGCCTGTTACAATGACAGAATGTTGCAAGGTTGGCTAATCAGCTAAGACAGGAACTAGCCGTTTTTCTTCTTTTGTGGTTTTCCTGTTGTCCTAGACTTTCTGGCTCCAGGAGACCTTCTGTGGGTCACAGGGGTCACGATGGCTTGACCATGGTGCAGCCTGCTCAGAGGACCTTAGAATGTCTTTCGTTTATAGTGCCCTCAGCCACAAAACTACCCATGGGTGAAGAAACTATACCACTTCATTTCTTCCACAATTGGAAGTTTTCCCTCATCTGTTGTCTGATATTATTTTCTAAAAGCTCAGTTTATAGATCTCTGTATTTCATTTACTTTTCATCCCACACATTGGCAGAATAATATTCAATCCAAGATTCCAAGAAAAGTGCATAAAAATTTCTGAAGTTTTTTCAAAACCTCCTTCTATTCCAGTTCTAGACTACATCTGTTCCCAATGTTTCTATCTCCCTGAAATCTGATCTCTGTCTCCTTGACTCCACGAAACTGTCGTCTTCTGCTTGGGCATCCTCTTTTTGCACTTTAGTCTGGAAACTGACTATATAGAAGACTAGAAGACTATGGCCTTCAGTTAATATATTTCCTATCTCTCAGGAATCAACATTCACTACTGTCTGTTTTCCAACTAGTAAAAAACATTGTTTCTTCTTTCGCCCAATTTTCTAATTTTGTAGGAATAATATATATATTTACATTTTCTATATTTGGATCTTAGTCAAAATAATCCCCCACCACACACAGCCACACACACATATGCTGTTCATTTAGTTTCTCTGGAGAAACTTGACTAATACAGCTGGAGATTCCTTTCTTTCTTTGATCTTCTTTGGAAATGGAAGTGTCTGTAATTCTTACGCTATGCCAGACCCACTATATTACATGTTGGGGACAGATAACTTGATTTTTAGTTTAATTATCTCATAGATAGAGAGGAATTTGTCCAGGGATGGGTCATATTAATTACTTTATTTTTAATTTTGCCTTTATCTTTTTTAGGGTATTTACCACTAGCATATGCAGTATAATGCTGTGTTTTAAAGTAATTTTTACAAATTATTTTCTTTATGATTATAAATCAAGCATAATGTATGTACAAACACAACACACATACACACATATACATACACACAAACACATATACATACACACACATGTGCTTGTAATTAAACTCAATGAAGGGTGAACCACAGAAACATGAAACAACAAAATTTTTCATCAAACTTAGGAAGAAAGGAAAAAGGCTGGCTAGGGCAAAAGTGAAAAAACACCTCCAAATAGATCTTGTTTTGCAGATGTAACTTTAAACCTGCATAAATAATTTACATAATTTTAAACCTGAAGAAACTTTTTGAAAATTACTGTATTTCAGAGAAAAAATGAAACTGGAAGCTAACTGTTTATTTTTATGTTTTACTCCTCTTTTCTTGAATAAATGGAAACCTAATTTGAACACTTTTCTACCTAATTTCCCTGAATATAATCTGAAATTGTTCCACAGAACTATTTAAAGATATTCCTCCTTCTTTTCTTGAGCTGCATAATATGACATTGTATAGATGTTCTGTGGTATATTTAATTAATTCCCTATTTGTGTTTACTTTCTATTTATTTGCACTTATAAATTATACATTTGTCTTTTGGGATTGTTTTTAGTATATCTTTGGAATAGATTCTTAGCAGTGTGATTGCCGAATTAAAAAAAAAACATGTATATGTAGTTTTACTAGGTATTGTCAAACTTTCCCCCTGATTAAACTATTTTACACTCCAGCAATTTGTAAAACAACTTGTTTTCTCACAGTCTCAATAGGTAAATATGGAGTCAAACTTTTGGATTTGCCTATCTGTAAAATGGAAAATGCTTCCCTCAGTATAGGTTTAATTTGCATTACTGTAAGTGAAGCTGAATTTCCTTTTTTATGGTAAAGAAAATTTGCATTTTTTCCCCTATAGACCCTCTTCACATTATCTACCTGTTTTCCTATCATGTTTTAGGCTTTTCATTTTCCATTTTTAGAAGTTCTTTATATATTAACAACATTTACAGTTAATCTTCACTGAGAATTGGAAATAAAATTTGCTTACGGTGTCCTCAGATCTCCATAAGTTTTTTAGGTTAAAGTCAAATTTATCCATCTTTCTGTTGTTGAGTCTAGATTTTAAATTATTAGAAAAAATTTACCTCATTCCCAAGTTTTAATTTTATCCGTGTTTTATTTCTTGAATATTTTAGATTTTTAGATGTAAATCTTTGATCAATTTGAATAATTTTTGTGTAGATTCTGAGAAAAGGGTCCAATTACATATTTTTTCTGTTAAAATTACTTGTATTGAATTTTCTTTAATAAGAAATTTAGTAAGTTAATTTATCCTACAAATTAAAGAGGCTAATTACATTGCATATTATATTTCCACATATGACTTGGTTTGTATGTTATTTTATTTGTACTGTTGGTCCTGTTGTTTATTTATGCAGCAATATCACATTTACTTTAATTATTGAGGTTTTATAATTTGTTTGAATATCTGATAACAATTGCCCCATTCATTGCTGTTCCATTTTATGCCTTTTGTGGTCATTCTGGCTTGCTTAATCTTCAAACTGATTGTTATAATGAACTTGTCTGACTCAGGCAAAACAATCAGACAAATAAATAAAAGCAAAAACTTAATGGTATTGTCATTTTTGCATTAAATTAACTTGGGAAGGAATGACATCATTATGGTATTGAATTTTCTTATTCAAAGATGATATATGCATTCTCATTTGTTTAAGCTACTTTTGTGTCTTTTGGAAGTCTTTTATTATTATTATTATTATTATTATTATTATACTTTAAGTTTTAGAGTACATGTGCACAATGTGCAGGTTAGTTACATATGTATACATGTGCCATGCTGGTGTGCTGCACCCATTAACTCGTCATTTAGCATTAGGTATATCTCCTAATGCTATCCCTCCCCCCTTCCCCCACCCCGCAACAGTCCCCAGAGTGTGATGTTCCCCTTCCTGTGTCCATGTGTTCTCATTGTTCAATTCCCGCCTATGAGTGAGAATATGCGATGTTTGGTTTTTTGTTCTTGCAATAGTTTACTGAGAATGATGATTTCCAATTTCATCCATGTCCCTACAAAGGACATGAACTCATCATTTTTGATGGCTGCATAGTATTCCATGGTGTATATGTGCCATATTTTCTTAATCCAGTCTATCATTGTTGGACATTTGGGTTGGTTCCAAGTCTTTGCTATTGTGAACAGTGCCGCAATAAACATACGTGTGCATGTGTCTTTATAGCAGCATGATTTATAGTCCTTTGGGTATATACCCAGTAATGGGATGTCTGGGTCAAATGGTATTTCTAGTTCTAGATCCCTGAGGAATCGCCACACTGACTTCCACAATGGTTGAACTAGTTTACAGTCCCACCAACAGTGTAAAAGTGTTCCTATTTCTCCACATCCTCTCCAGCACCTATTGTTTCCTAACTTTTTAATGATTGCCGTTCTAACTGGTGTGAGATGGTATCTCATTGTGGTTTTGATTTGCATTTCTCTGATGGCCAGTGATGATGAGCATTTTTTCATGTGTTTTTTGGCTGCATAAATGTCTTCTTTTGAGAAGTGTCTGTTCATTCTCATACCAAAGCCGGGCAGAGACACAACCAAAAAAGAGAATTTTAGACCAATATCCTTGATGAACATTGATGCAAAAATCCTCAATAAAATGCTGGCAAACCGAATCCAGCAGCACATCAAAAAGCTTATCCACCATGATCAAGTGGGCTTCATCCCTGGGATGCAAGGCTGGTTCAATATACGCAAATCAATAAATGTAATCCAGCATATAAACAGAACCAAAGACAAAAAACACATGATTATCTCAATAGATGCAGAAAAGGCCTTTGACAAAATTCAACAACGCTTCATGCTAAAAACTCTCAATAAATTAGGTATTGATGGGAAGTATCTCAAAATAATAAGAGCTATCTATGACAAACCCACAGCCAATATCATACTGAATGGGCAAAAACTGGAAGCATTCCCTTTGAAAACTGGCACAAGACAGGGATGCCCTCTCTCACCACTCCTATTCAACATAGTGTTGGAAGTTCTGGCCAGGGCAAGTAGGCAGGAGAAGGAAATAAAGGGTATTCAATTAGGAAAAGAGGAAGTCAAATTGTACCTGTTTGCAGATGACATGATTGTATATCTAGAAAACCCCATTGTCTCAGCCCAAAATCTCCTTAAGCTGATAAGCAACTTCAGCAAAGTCTCAGGTTGCAAAATCAATGTACAAAAATCACAAGCATTCTTATACACCAATAACAGACGGAGAGTCAAATCATGAGTGAACTCCCATTCACAATTGCTTCAAAGAGAATAAAATACCTAGGAATCTAACTTACAAGGGACGTGAAGGACCTCTTCAAGGAGAACTACAAACCACTGCTCAATGAAATAAAAGAGGATACAAAGAAATGGAAGAACATTCCATGCTCATGGGTAGGAAGAATCAATATTGTGAAAATGGCCATACTGCCCAAGGTAATTTATAGATTCAATGCCATCCCCATCAAGCTACCAATGACTTTCTTCACAGAATTGGAAAAAACTACTTTAAAGTTCATATGGAACCAAAAAAGAGCCTGCATCACCAAGTCAATCCTAAGCCAAAAGAACAAAGCTAGAGACATCACGCTACCTGATGTCTATACTATACTACAAGGCTATAGTAACCAAACTATACTACAAGGCTACAGTAACCAAAACAGCATGATACTGGTACCAAAACAGAGATATAGATCAATGGAACAGAACAGAGCCCTCAGAAATAACGCTGCATATCTACAACTATCTGATCTTTGACAAACCTGAAAAAAACAAGCAATGGGGAAAGGATTCCCTATTTAATAAATGGTGCTGGGAAAACTGGCTAGCCATATGTAGAAAGCTGAAACTGAATCTCTTCCTTACACCTTATACAAAAATTAATTCAAGATGGATTAAAGACTTAAACATTAGACCTAAAACCATAAAAACCCTAGAAGAAAACCTAGGCATTACCATTCAGGACATAGGCATGGGCAAGGACTTCATGTCTAAAACACCAAAAGCAATGGCAACAAAAGCCAAAATTGACAAATGGGATCTAATTAAACTAAAGAGCTTCTGCACAGCAAAAGAAACTACCATCAGAATGAACAGGCAACCTACAAAATGGGAGAAAATTTTCGCAACCTACTCATCTGACAAAGGGAAGTCTTAGTAAGATTTTGGATGTTTTCCATTAAGTTTATGGTTAGGCCATCAAATTTGTTTTACTATACTTTCCAGATATTGTTGCTGTCAGTGATTTGGCCTTACCTGCATGCATTTTGGGACTCGTGGAGTTACTTTGTCAGTTGGTTTTATGGTGTATGTTGGCTGTGATAATTTTTGTTGTTTTGTTCATTTCTTTGCTATATTTCGTGGGATGATTTAGGGATATTAAAAAACTGCTGCCACTGTAACTTTGCCTGGCATGCTCAAAAATTTTTGAGTCTACATATTTTCTAATATAAAATTTCTGTTACCAAATATGCAAAATATATTTCAAAGATTAGGTGATAATTATCCCAAAGACACACATTCAATCACAGAAACAGTATAATGTATAAAATCCTGCTATTTAGTGCTTACTAATGAAGATAGACAAAGCAAATGGAATCTGCAAGAACCAGGATAACTGATTTGGAACCAAACATTTCAGTTTGCTTTGTACAGCTGTCCCTCTCAATACGTGATCTTTGGCCTTATTTTTATTCTCTACCCCAAAGAAAGCAGATATTTTAGTTCACAGCAAAAATTTCCATTTAATTCATAATTGTCATATGCAGAAGAGATTTTGTGAATTATTTTACAACATTGACCTCAATGAAATTTAATCACGTTATGTAAATTCAACTGGGGCAAGGAATTATTGAACAAACATACAGATTGTTAACATACAACTATCTACAAGGAGACGGTAGGGAAAATTACTGGTGGAGCAGGACGTGTGGAGGCCATTCATCTACTTAACAACATGATCTTTCTAGTTATGGTGGCTCTGAACAATTCTCTGGAAAAAAATCTAATGCTAATTGGAAATTGGAAATGCTACAATTTCCATAGAGTGGATATAAGAAGAATAACTTCCCACTCACAGAGTCTGGAGTTGTCTCATGCAGTAATGAAATCCTTTTGCTCGTAAGATGGTCATTAAAACAGTGGCTTACACAGGTTATTATACTTTCTCTCTCATAAAGAAATCCAGAGGAAGTCAATCCATGGTGGTTCTTTTCTACTCAGCCATTCTTAGTATATGATTTTCCTATCTGAGGTCACGTCACTGTCACAGGACGCTTATGGAGGAACCAAACATTATTTCTGGTGCCAAGGAAGTGGGAATAAGACAAATATTCAGGGAAATAAGCAACTTTCTAGCTAAATTAGGGCCCTTTTAAAAAATTGTTCTCTGAAGTATTACTTTCCATTTACATTTCATTCACTCCTAGTGGCAAGGAAAGCTGCAAAAGTTTGTTGTTGTTGTTTTTCCATCCTGAAATAAAGTTGTTATGCTGTTACTAAGGAAGATAAACAGAATGGATATTGAGTATGCAGCCATTCTTCTCTGCCACAGGATTAGACTACATTTACCATCTGTCTGGTTGCCTCCTTTTTAGTCTGAATAAGAAAAAAACAATTGTAATACTTGGAAGTTAAATTTTGAAGATAGCATTTTAGTAGCTTTTTTTTGCACTTTTCTCCCCTAACTACAGGTATTATTATTTAGCTGTCTTTAAAAATCCAGACAAAACAAACATAACAGAAGCTTTTGTTGCTTGAATGATTGGGCACTCATCCTGAAAAACAACAACAAAAAATAACTATGCCATTCAATCCTTATGTATATAAATCCTTTGTTTGTGTTCCAACATGTTTAAGCATTCTACTGCTTTTTGTTTAAAAAAATCAGTACAGCAACCATGAAAAGTTTAACACCCAGGCAGATCAAGATGAATGCGGCCATTCTTGTTAAGTAGGACATTGTTTGCTCTTTAGAAAGAAGATGTATTACCAGGAAAAAATGATATATATATATATTTCTGCAACATCTTGTAACCACACTCCATTAGAAATGATTACCACCACAATGCTGTATGGGCTGAACAGGTTCATATTTCTCTAAGATACAAGGGCAAGAAAAAGACCAGCTGCCAGGACAGTATGACCCAGTCTACTGCTCTGCCTGACCTGTGTCAGGAGTAATCTCAGTCAAAGCTGTAACCATCACCATGTATAGCCAGGGCACTTCTAACACTGGCGACTTGTTGTTGCAACACTGGGTCTAAAAATAACAACAATCCATCAGTGTCAGTGCATGAAAAACTGAATTTCATCATAATTTAAGAGAATTGTGGACTACAGTAATACATAAAGTCAGTTTTGTTATTGTAGTTTGTTCTTTCTATTGCAGCAAGTTGGCTGCCTTCTGACTAACATTTTACTCATTTCTCTAATCAGCGGGAAAAAAATAAAATAATATTTTTCAAAAATTTACAAATGTCTGAATATACATGAGAGTATTTTAATAATCTGTCATTTTGAAATAATTTACCACTGACAATTGCTCTCTTGGTATTTTGAATTCAACTAATAATGAGTGTATTCATAAATATATGTTATTATCTTATATTATTATTATTATTATATATTATTCTTCCATACAAGAAGAGGTTCAATAAATACCTAATTCTAATGTTAGCCTAAAACCATATTGAAGCCACTGAATTATTTAGGGATGAATATTATGTGCTAATGAACCTCATTTTTTAAAACTTTTATTTTAGGTTCAAGGGTACACGTGCATGTTTGTTATATAGGTAAATTGTGTGTTATGGGGGTTTGGTTTACAGATGATTTTGCCACCCAGGTAATAAGCATCATACCTGGTAGGTAGTTTTTGAACCCAATTTTAATCTTATAATAGCATAGAAGATTTCACAAATGAATCCTCAGCATGATCCAGCTAACAGCTGGATTCATAACAGTTATGGGGGAAAATTTGGAATTTCAAAGGTGGACATAGAAATTGATTTAGAGTAACTCATGAATTCACTAAACTGAGTTTTTATTAACAGGCTATTTAGCGTAAATCTTTACTAACAATCAGGAACGAATCATCCTTAATAGTAGAGATAACTGATCCGAATTATTGAGACACAATTATTTTTAAGTAATTTTAAAATATTAAGTGATTTTTTTCAACTTACATTGTTGTTTTGTTTTTTTTTCAACTACTTTGTTTGTTTATAGAATTGTGAGTTAGAAGATTTCATTCTGGCTTTCCATATTAGGAACAGTTGAATTTAACCATCTGGAGCTAATTAAAACATCCCCTAATATTACAAATTTCTCGTCTAAAATCTGATGAAATTTGTACAATTATTCTGCCTCCCTCAGAGATTAGTTGCATCGAACACATATTAGTGAACTATTTAGACATATGGGGGACAATAAATTCAGTATTGTGTATGGTTAGAAATCAGAGAAATCCAGGATCAAATGTAAGCTCTGAGACTTGATAACTGAGCTCAGTGAACTTTTTATTCATTCAACAAATATTCATTAAGCAATAACAGAATTTCAGGCACTAGTCTAAGAGCTGAGAGTGCTGCCATAAATACAACACATTAAGTTCTTTATTCTCAACGACATGATAGAGAAGTGAGAATCTAAAAGTAAACACAAATATGCATTTCAGATGGTAATACTATTATTAAGAAGAATAAGCAGATTGAGAGGATTAGATAGCCAGTGTAGGTTGTAGAGACATTTTAGTAGCCGCAGAAAGGAAGTGACAGAGAACAGAAGGGAAGTATAGCAAGGAAGCATGTGAGGTTATGCAACAAGCAAGGGAGACAGCAGGTGAAGTTGTGGAGGAAACCAAGAATCAGATCATTTGGGCCTTTAGACCATAATAAGCACTTTAGATTTTCGATTTAACTGCAACTTTTTAATCTGACCGACAGTGTTTTTTGTTTTGTTTTGTTTTGTTTTGTTTTGGTTTTGTTGTTGTTGTTGTTTTGAAAGGGAGTCTCGCTCTGTCACCCAGGCTGGACTGCAATGGCATGGTCTCAGCTCACTGCAATCTCTGCCTCCTGATTCAAGTGATTCTCCTGCCTCAGCCTCCCTGAGTAGCTGGGACTACAGGCGCGTGCAACCACATCCAGCTAATTTCTGTATTTTTAGTAGAGACATGTTTTCAGTATGTTGGCCAGGGTGGTCTCAAACTCCTGACCTTGTGATCTGCCCTCCTTGGCCTCCCAAAGTGCTGGGATTACAGGTGTGAACCACTGTGCCCGGCCCTGACTGACAGTTTTTAAAAGATCACACTGGCTACTTATCTAGGTCAGTCGATATTATAATTTTGACCTGGGTGGCTTTAAGAACAAACATTTATTTTTTAGACTTTGGTGGCTGGAATTCTGAGATCCTGGAACCAGCATGGTTATTTTGTTACAGAGGGCCCTCTTCTTGGTTTACAAACAGCACCTTTTCACTGTGTCCTCACATGGTGGACAGAGAACTAGCTCACCTCTCTTACTCTTTTTAAAAGGGCATTAATTCGATCAGGAGAACCTCACCCTCCTGACTTAATCTAAAGCTTATTACCTCCTAAAGGCCTTATCTCCAAGTACCATAGCACTGGGGATTAGGGTTTCAACATAAGTTTTGGAGGGACATAAACATTCAGTCCATGGCACTATCATAAAAAGAATAGACTATGTGAGCACAGGAGAAAGAGGCAAGGTCTTATGGCAAGGAAACTGATTAGCAACTATTATAATAGTCTAAACTCTAGTCAGTAATGACTTAATGGTTATGGTAATGGTTAAATCATAGTATAGTATAGTATAGCCTAAAGGTAATGGTTAAATCATAGTATAGTGGTTGAAGTAGTAAAAAGTGGCCAATTTTTAGACAACCTGGCAGTCTTTGCTAATGTATGTGGATTGTGAGAAAAACTTGACATAAAGAACAACTTGATTAGCTTCTTTAAACTTTCATCTCCTCAAATACACAATAGAGAACTTATTTACTATAATATGGAGTTGGGAAAACTAAATTTCAATGTAGGAAAGCATTTACAGTTATTGTATGTTATAAAATCAACATATGTAATATAAAATAATTATTATATTATTGTATAATATATAATAAGTAGCAATGTTAATTTGAGACCAAGGACAAAAATTGTTTTAAAATCCTCCAGTAATAGGCGAACTAAAGTTGCAGAACTTGGCTTTTCTACATCCATATAGGGACTTTCTATCCCAGACACCTTTGTTCATGAGTCTGTACAGTTAATACTTTCATATCTGTCTTTTTAATCAGGTAGAAGCAATTTTAATTCATGCTAAGTTATATTACTTTAGAAGTCATCTATCTTCTGTTTCCTTTACAGTCAGTCAACTGACCCTAAAACCGGAAGACAGCACTGCTTCTCATCCTTATTCAGTGGTGGCATACTCAGTAAATGATAGAGCTGTGTGGCACTTTGTGATGCATTGCATTTGTATAATTATTATAAGAAAATTTTAAAAAGCAAATAGTAGAGACAGTGTAAAATTGAATTTGTATTAATATTTAAATAAAATATTTTCAATTTTCTAGAGAGATAGTTGACCTTCCTTCCATTCATATCTGTCATCTATCTATCTCTCTATCATCTATCTTTATGTAAGTATAATTTTTAATACTGTTTTATACTTGAAATATCTACATTCAATTCCTAATCATGTTATATTTTTCCAGGGGGAGATTATTTGTTCTTGAGGAAAACCATCGATGAGAACATTTTGAAAACAAGAACATAGTCTCTTTTGTCTGGAAATAGTCTAACTATTAATAATTTGTAGCCTCTTGTAGATAAGACTGCTCATCAAAATTATATATATGATTTTATGTGAATATGTGGACCTACATTTTTAGAAGAGAATTTAATATTCTTTTAAAACATGAGAAAAATAAATAAAAATAATGGGTTTTATGTATGTAATTTCCATCTCTCAGAAATGGGCAATAGTTTCAAATGATTTTTATTTATTTATTTATTTTAAATTTATTCATTTTTCTGAACAACTGTGATCTTAAAACTATCTTTAGGTAATCAGTTTCTTCCTGGCTTAATCTTGTGAGGGTGTATTAGGATTTATCCATCTCTTCTAGGTTTTCTAGTTTGTGTGTGTAGAAGTGTTTATTGTAGTTTCTTTTTTTCTTTTTTTTTTATTTTTCTTTCTTTCTTTCTTTTTTTTTTTTTTTTTTTTTTTTTTGAGACAGAGTCTTGCTCTGTCACCCAGGCTGGAGTACAATGGCCCAATCTCAGCTCACTGCAACCTCCGCCTCCTGGGCTCAAGCGATTCTCCTTCCTCAGCATAGCGAGTAGCTGGGATTACAGGTGCGTGGCACCATGCCCGGCTAACTTTTTCTATTTTTAGTAGAGACGGGGTTTCACCATGTAAGCCAGGATGGTCTTGATCTCCTTAACTCGTGATCCACCTGCCTCAGCCTCCCAAAGAGCTGGGATTACAGGCGTCGGCCACAGAGCTCTGCTTTTTATAGTAGTGTTGGGAACAGGCCCCCAAATCTGGCCATAAACAGGCCCCAAAACTGGCCATAAATGAAATCTCTGCAGCACTGTGACATGCTTATGATGGCTATGATGCCCACGCTGAAGGTTGTTGGTTTACCGGAATGAGGGCAAGGAACACCTGGCCCACTCAGGGTAGAAAACCGCTTAAGGCGTTCTGACCAGAAACAATAGCATGAGCAATCTGTGCCTTAAGGACATGTTCGTGCTGCAGATAACTAGCCAGAGCCCATCCCTTTGTTTCCCGTTTTATTTAATCTATAATCTGCAGAAACAATGCTTATCACTGACTTGCTGTCAATAAATATGTGGGTAAAACTTGGTTCATGGCTTTCAGCTCGGAAGGCTGTCAGCCCTCTGATTCCCATTCTGCACTCTGTATTTCTGTGTGTTTGTCTTTAATTCCTCTGGTGCCACTGGGTTAGGGTCTGCATGACCGAGCTGGTCTCAGCAGGTACTTTCTAATGGTTGTTTTTATTTTTGTCGAGTCAACATTACCTTTGTCATTTCTAATTGTGTCTCTTTTTTGTTTGGATCTTCTCTTTTCTTCTTTATTAGTCTAGCTAGGGGCCTATTTTATTATTAAAAAAACAACTATTGGATTCATCGCTCTTTTAAATGGTTTTTTGTGTCTCAATTTCCTTCTGTTCAGCTCTGGTTTGTTACTTTTTGTCTTCTGCTAGCTTTGGGCATGATTTGTTCTTGCTTCTCTAATTCTTTCCATTTTGAAGTTAGGTTATTAATTTGAGATCTTTCTAACTTTTTTATGTGAGCGTTTATTAGTATGAGTTTTCCCTTTAACACTGCCTTAGCTGTGTCCTAGAGATTCTGGTATGTCATATCTTTGTTCTTATTAGTTTCGAATAGCTTACTGATTTCTGCCTTAATTTCATTATTTACCCAAAAGTCATTTATGACCATGTTGTTTAAGTTTCATGTAATTGCATGGTTTTGAGCAATTTTACTTCTTTCTTTTTTTTCTCTCTCTTTTTTTTTTTTTTGAGACAGAGTCTCGCTCTGTCGCCTAGGCTGGAGTGCAGTGGTGTGATCTCGGCTCACTGCCAGCTCCGCCTCCCGGGTTCATGCCATTCTCCTGCCTCAGCCTCCTGAGTAGCTGGGACTACAGGTGTCTGCCACCACGCCTGGCTAATTTTTTCTATTTTTTAGTAGAGACAGGGTTTCACCATGTTAACCAGGATGGTCTCGATTGCCTGACCTCGTGATCCGCCTGCCTTGGCCTCCCAAAGTGTTGGGATTTCTTGTGTGAGCCACCGCGCCTGGCCAGTTTTGAGCAATTTTCTTAATCTTGACTTATATTTTTATTATCCTGTAGTTTGAGAGTGTGTTTGGTATGATTTTGGTTCTTTTACATTTGTTGAGGATTGTTTTATGTCCAATCATGTGGTCAATTTTAGAGTATTCACCATGTGATGATGAAAAGAATGTATATTTTGTTGCTTTTGGGTGGAGAGTTCTGAAAAGCTCTATCAGATCCATTTGGTCTAACATTGAGTATAGGTCCTGAATATTTTCGTTAATTTTCTGCCTCTATGATAGCAGCCAGGAAGAAAATGATTCCCTGAACAGACCAATAATGAGCTCTGAAATAGAATCAGTAATAAATAGCTAACAAACAAACAAAAAAGCCCAGGACCTCATGGATTCACAGCCGAATTCTGTCAGATGTACAAAAATGAGCTGGTACCCTTCCTACTGAAACTATTGAAAAACAAAACAAACAAAAATGAGCAGGAGAGACTCCTCTTCAAATCATTCTTGATACCAGCGTCATCTTACCAAAACCTGTCAGAGACACACACAAAAAAGAAAAGTTTAGGCTAATATCCTTGATAAACATTGATGCAAAAATCCTCAACAAAACACTTGCAAACTGAATCCAGCAGCATATCAAAAAGCTAATCCACCATGATCAAGCAGACTTTTTCTCCAGATGCAAAGTTGATTCAACATTCACAAATCAATAAATGTGATACATCACATAAATAGAACTAAAGACAAAAACCACAAGATTATCTCAATAAACACAGAAAGACTTTTAATAAAATTCAACACCCTTTCATGTTAAAAACTCTCAATAAACTAGGTATTGAAGGAACATACCTCAAAATAATAAGAGTCATCTATGACAATTCCATAGCTAATATTATACTGAATGAGCAAAAGCTAAAAACATTCCCCTTGAAAACTGGCACAAGACAAGGATGCTCTCTCTCAACACTTCTATACAACATAGTGTTAGAAGTTCTGGTCAGGGCAATCAAGCAAGAGAAAGAAATAAAGGGCATCCAAATAAGAAGAGAGGAAGTCCAACAACCTCTATTTGCAGACAACATGACTCTACATATAGAAAACCCTATAATCTCAGCCCAAAAGCTCTTCCAGCTGATAAACAACTTCAGCAAAGCTGTAGGATACAAAATCAACGTAGAAAATTATTAGGATTCCTATACACCAACAGCAGCCAAATCAAGAGCCAAATCAAAAGGCAATCCCATTTACAATTTCTGCAAAAGAATAAAATACCTAGAAATACAGCTAACTAGGGAGGTGAAAGATTTCTACAATAAGAAGTACAAACCACTCTTCAAATAAATCAGAGAAGACACCAACAAATGGAACACCATTCCATGCTCATGAATAGGAAGAATCAATATTGTGAAAATGGCTATACTACCAAAAGCAACTTATAGATTAAATGCTATGCCTATCAAACTAGCAATAACATTCTTCACAGAACTAGAAAAAAAAACTATTTTAAAATTCATATAGAACCAGAAAAAGAGCCCAAATAGCCAAGGCAATCCTAAGCAAAAAGAACAAAGATGGAGGCATCATATCATCCAACTTCAAACTCTATGTACTACAAGGCTACAGCAAACAAAACAGTATGAAACTGGTACAAAAACAGACATAGACCATATGGAACAGAATAGAGAGCCCAGAAAAAAGGCTGTATATCTATGACCATCTGATCTTTGTCAAAGCTGACAAAAACAAGCAATGGGGAAAAAACTCCCTATTCAATAAATGTTGGTGGGATAACTGGCTAGCCATATGCAGAGGATTTTTACTAGACTCCTTTCTTATACCACATAAAAAATAACACAAAATGGATTAAAGATTTAACTGCAAACCCCAAAACTATAGAAATGCTGGAAGACAACCTAAGCAATACCATTCTGGGCATAAGAGTGGGCAAACATTTTATGACAAAGACACCAAACACAATTGTAACAAAAGCAAAAATTGATAAGTGGTAGCTTTGGCACAGCGGAAGAAACTATCAGACAACCTGCAGGATGGGAATAAATTTTTGTAATCTATGCTTCTGACAAAGGTCTAATATCCAGCATCTATAAGAAAGTTAAACAAATTTACAAGAGAAAAACAACCGCATTTAAAAATGGGCAAAGCACATGGACAGACACTTTCCAAAAGAAGACATACCGATGGCCAAGAAGCAAGCATATGATAAAAAGCTCTATATCACTAACCATTACAGAAATGCAAATCAAAACTACAGTGAGATACCATCTTATGCCAGTCAGAATGGCTATTATTAAAAGTAAAAAACAAACCAAAAACCAGGTACTGGCAAGGATGTGGAGAAAAAGGAACACTTTTACACTGTTGTGGTAAAAATTAGTTCAGCCATTATGGAAGGCAGTGTGCTGATTCCTTAAAGACCTAGAGGCAGAAATACCATTCAACCCAGCAATGCTATTACTGGATATATAGCCAAAGGACTATAAATCATTCTACTATAAAGACACATGCAAACATATGTTCATTGCAGCACTATTCACAATAGCAAAGACATGGAATCAACCTAAATGTCCATCAATGACAGTTTGGATAAAGAAAATGTGGTACATCTACACCATGGAATACTATGCAGCCACAAAGAAAGAACAAGATCCTATCTTTTGCAGGAACATGAATGGAGCTAGAAGCTATAATCCTTAGGAAACTAAAGCAGGAACAGGAAACCAAATACCACATGTACTCACTTATAGGTAGAAGAAGCTAAATGATAAAAACTTATGAACACAAAGAAGAAAACAACAGACACTGGGGTCTACTTGAGGGGGGAGGGTGGGAGGAGAGAGAGTAGCAGAAAAGGTAACTATTGGGTATTGGGTTTAATACATGAGTGATGAAATAATACGTACAACAAACTGTCCCATGACACATTTTTACCTATGTAACAAATCTTCACATGTACCCTCAAACCTGAAATAAAAGTTTTTAAAAAAACTATCCTTTAAATTTACTCATATAAAAATAAATGCTATCTGTATAAATTGGAGTTCATTCTCATCAACAAGTGGGAAATAACAGGCCAGGAGAATCACTCATATTTTGTTTTAATGAAAAGTGATTCATGCTGGATATAGTGGCTTACATCTGTAATCCCAATACTTTGGCATGCCGAGGTGAGAGGATCGCCTGAGACCAGCCTGGGCAACAAAGCAAGGCCTCATATCAACAAAAATAAAAAAAATCTTAAAAACAAGGCTCATAATTATATAAAAGCATTTGAGCTTGAAAAATATATTTCATCTTTATAATTTCAAAAGCCACAAAATGTAATATATACTACATTCACTAGGTCTAAGTCTTAAAAGAAACCAATGTTCTTAGGATTAAATATTTTAACAAGAATGCTACAGAAACCTATTTTCTTTCTATAGTTCAGCAATCTCAAAACTTAGTACTTTTAATGCAATAGTGCTCATCCACAAAAGACTAATGAATCATTATTTTTTTCTTATGAATATTTCTCAAACTGAGATTCCTATTTCTCTACAAACTAGCTGTGATTAAAAATATAATAATAAGCCAAATCTTAGGTGCCCACTACAGGGCAAAATTATTATTTAATTATATTAATTATTTAGTGACACATTATCATTGGTGTCCTGAAAAGCAAGCTAACTACACACACACAGACACACACACACACACACACGCGCATGCACACACATGATAGAACATGTATACATGAACTTTGAAACTCAGATTTCTGAGACCCTACAATGGCAAATAGAACAGAAAAAATTTTTAGTGAAAATATTTATATGTGTTGATAAAGCCTGTAAGATTATCATATTAATAAACATCACATTTGTTAATTTGTACAGATCAATGGGAAAGTATACTTGCTATTTCAAGTAATCACTTGAAATTCATATGAATTTTTGAATTGATAATACTAGTAAACAACTATTATAGAATTAAATACTCAGAAATTTATTCAAACCTATTATTAACCTCCATTATGTGATGAAGTCTTCAAGACTACAACTAGCAAAGTAGGCACTTCAAGTACAGAAGGTCAAAGTCTGAAATTTTTACACTTTGTCCTGTCAATATCACTTTTCTAATCTGGGGTCTATGAATAGATGTGGGTAATCTGTGAAGTTGAATGAGCAATATTATAAATATATATTTTCCACTTACCTGCAATGGACATTTTGCATTACATTCCATTTTGATCGTAGGCAACAAATCATAGTAATGCTTATTGTACCTAAGATGTGAGGTTTGATCACTCCCTTTACAGTTGTTATAGATATCTCAAAATATCTTTTATGCTAATCAATAGACAAATTATAAGATATTTTAATTTTATATTTTAGTAAAGAAACATATATTTCTATACATCAAATATTTTATTTTAAAATTTTCCCAATGACATTTTAATATAATTGACATTCATTGTAATTGTATGCATTTCTTATATGCATTTAAGCTCTTATTCTAAGTAGAGATCCATAGGTGTCAACAATGGATGTAGACTTCCATTGTGGTTCATGGCAAAAAAGAAATTCTGTTAGGTCAAGTGGATTGAGAACGCTCTTTAGATAATCTTCATTCTCACTGATTTTCTGCCTGCATGATACATTAATTAATGAACAAGAGACAAAGTCTCCAATGATAATTGTAAAGTTATCTATATCTGTTTGCAGTTCTAACATTTTGACTTATGTATTTTGATGCTCTGTTGTTACATGCATACCTTTTTAAGGTTCTTATCTCTTCTTGGAAATCTGTGCCATTTATCATTATGTGATATTTCCCTTTATCCCTAATAATCTTCCTTGTTTCCAAGTCAGCTTTTCCTGAAGTTAATGTAACTTTCCCTGTTTTCTTTGGTTAATGTTGGTATAATATATCTTTCTCCATTTATTTACTCTTAACCCATCTGAGTCTTTATATGTAAAGTGGTTCTCTTGTAGGCAGGATATAGCTGTGGGTTTTTTTTTTTAAATCCAATCTGACAATTTGTGTCATTTGATTGTTATTTTTATACCATGCACATCTGAAGTGATTATTGATATAGTAGGACTGAAATCGACCATATTGCTAATGTTTATTTTTCTTTTAATTGCTCTGCCTTTCGTTTCTTTTTTAAATTTATTTTTACTCATGTTAATTGAGCATTGTTTATAAATCTACACTATTTTAAAATGTATACTGTCAATCCAAGGGTAACCAACACAAATTTTTTTTAGGAAGTATAAATGAGATGTTCACAAAGGAGATTACATAAGTATATCTTCAAATAATATTATACTTTTTCATATGTAGTATAGCTATTGTTTAACAGAATGATCCTAATTCTCTGATGTTTCATATCATTGTCATTCATTTCACTTTTATATATGCTAAAAACATCCAATTTACATTATCACAATTATTACTTTAAGTAAGTTAATTTGAGAGCAATTAAGTATAAATACATATATTTTACTTGACTTATTCCTTTTCTGATGTTCTTCTTTATACGTATTCAAGTTTTTAACCTACATCAATTTTCTTCTATCTCAAAAACTGTCAACATATTTTGTGGAGTAGATGTACTGGCAATAAAATTCTTCAGTTTTTATTGTGTGAAAAAGTTTTTATGTTTCCTTTCCTTTTTAAAAATATAAGTTTTAAAAGTTTCATATTTATTGAATAATATAAGATAGTACAGAAATTTTTAATTTTATAAATATTTTTGTAAATAATTTTATAAATATTTTACATTAGTATGATACATTTTGTTACAATTAACAAACCAATATTTTTATTTTATTATTAACTAAAAAAATAGTTTATTCAGATTTTCTTGATTTCTATTTAATGTCCTTTTCTGTTTCAGGTTCCCCTAAATAACCATATTACTTTTAGTTATCACAGCTTCTGAGGTTCCTCTTGGTTGTGACAGCTTCTCAGACTTTCCTTATTTTCAATGACTTTGACAGTTTTTAGAAGTACTGATTAGGTATGTTAAGGATGCTCCTTGTTGGAATTTATCTGATTTTTTTTTCATGACGAGGCTGGAATTGTGGGTATTTAAGAGGAAAGCTACAAATATAAAGTAACATTCTTATCACATCATACTAAGGGTACATACTAGCAACGTGATTTATGACTGTTGCTTACCTTGATCACCAGGCTGAGATAGTTATTCTCAGGTTTCTCCCCTGAGGTTTCCCTTGTTTTCCCTTTTCCACATCATACTCTCAAGAGGAATGTATTTATGCATAGTCAGCATTTATGAAGTTTTGATATATGCCTCCTTCCTTTGAAGGGCATAATATCTATAAATTACTTGGCATTCTTCTGCATGAGAGATTTGTCTCTGCTCTTCCAATCATTATTTATATTTTTATTTATATTGTATAGACTCACGAATATTCAATTTACACTTTGTATTATAATCCAATACTACTTTATTTTGTTACTAAATCATTTCAGCTTTGGAACGTGGATCTCTTTTTGGTGGTTCCTGTGTCCTCTTCTTTGACATATACAAATCAATGTTCCTTTTTTTTGTTTGTTTTTGTACTTCCTTAGTTTTTGGCATGATGGTTCAGGCTCGTCTTGTATATTCTGCCCCAATCCTAGCAGTAGCCATTTCTCTAAGGAGCCTCAATTTCTTTTCTTTTTTTCTTTTCTTTTCTTTTCTTTTATTTCTTTCTTCCTTCTTCCTTTCTCCTTCCTGTTTTAAAGAATGGTATTAGAAACTAAGATCTACGTTCTTGTTGTACTCACTGCTAATGGGGTATCAGTGCTTTCAGGCCTTCTCAGCTAACATAGCAAGGAAATATACATGTTTTTGCTAACCTATTTTTATATATACATATCTAATTTTTTCCAAGTAGACATTTGCATTTATATTACATTAAATGTATATTAATACTAATGTCTCCAACTCTAATCCATTACCATATACACCATTTTGGCCTCCCTTTGCTAATATGTAAATTCCCACTCAGATAGTAAAAAACCTGGCTCTCACTGTTTGCCATCCATTTAGGTCATTGTTTATTTTCAGTATATATGTATAATTGTACCAGAATAGTTCATCGTTACCTTCATGGGAAACAAGTTATTCAGCTCCATCACATCACATCAGAGGTGCATGTTATCAACAGTACTTACATTTGTGTAACAAGAACCTTCCTTGTGTGCTGTTCATTTTTTCTTTCTTCTTGTAGACTACTCATTTCAAAAATTACTTAAGTCAGCGTTTTTTATTCTTGACCTTACACAAAAATTATTTCATACATTTGTAATAGTTATTTTTTCTTGTCACAGTCTTCATTCCTTCCTGGGAGTCCTCAAACCTCCCCAATATTTTTTTTGTAATTTGCATATATTAAGTTTCCATCTTTATGCTTTCTACTAGTTTTGAAAAATGCATAAGATCATGTATTCAACAAAATATCACACAGAATAACTTTGCTACCCTAAAAATACTCTGTGCTTTACTATTTAATTCTCATGCTGTGTACCTACCAGAGCTTCTGGGAATCAATGACTTTTTATTGTCTCTATAGTTTTGTCTTTTCCCAAACATCATATTATTGAAAAGATATCTTTTTTCTTTTTCCTTTTTTTTTTTTTTTGGAGACGGAGTTTTGCTCTTGTTGCCCAGGTTGGAGTACAATGGCACTATCTCAGCTCACCGCAACCTCAGCCTCCCGGTTTCAAGTGATTCTCCTGCCTCAGCCTCCCAAGTAGCTGGGATTACAGGCATGTGCCACCTCGCCTCGATAATTTTGTATTTTTAGTAGAGACCGGGTTTCACCATGTTGGCCAGGCTCTTCTCAAACTCGGACCTTAGGTGATTCCCCCGCCTCAGCCTCCCAAAGTGCTGGGATTACAGGCGTGAGCCACTGCCCCTGGCCCTCTTTTTTCTTAATTAACTAAAGACTATCATAAATTTAGATTTCCTTAGTTTTTACCATATGTTTGTTTTCTGTCTGAGGAGCCCATTCAAAACAGGACCTTACATTAAATTGTCATGTCTCTTTGTGAAACTCTTTGTGGTGACAGTTTGTCAGAATTTTCTTGCTTTTGATGACCTTGATAATTTTGAATAATACTGGTCAAATTATTTGTAGGTTGCCCCAATACTGGATTTTTTCTCTGTTTTTTTTTTTTTCTCATTATTACACTGAGTTCATGGGATTTTGAGAGGAGGTGTAATTTCCTCTCAAATTACACAAAGCTAAAGTGTAATTTTCCTCACATGTATGTAAATCAAATGTACATACTATCAATTATTTATGACTATTGATATTGATGGTGGTTACCTGGCTGAAGTAGTATCTGTCAGATTTCTCCACTATAATGCTATATGTTTTTTCCTCATTCTATTCTGTACTCTTTGAAAGGGGGCCAATGTCTGCAGCTCAGACTTAAGGAGTGGAGATTTATACTTGTCTCTAGGGTGTCTGTAGATAAATTATTTGGCTTTCTTCTTCATGGGAGATTTGTCTCTTTTCATGACTTATTAATTTGCTCAATTATGTATTTATATCAGTATAGATGCACAGGTATTTATTTTATCCTCTATGTTATAATCCAGCACTACTTCATTTTTTGCTAAAATTGTTCCAGCTTTGGATAGTAGAATTTCTTTCACTTGGCTGTTGTGTCGCACTTTGATATATTTCCAACTGTCATTTCTTTTTTTTCTTTCTTTTTCTTTTTTTAGCATTTCCTTACTTTCTGGCATTATAAGATACTCCAGACTCATCTTATATATTTCCTGCCACAGTCCTAAAATCAACCACTTCTCCAAGAAGCTCCACTTATATTTATTAGAGAAACCAAGATGTGGGAATAGATGTGCATGTTGCTACTTGTATGTTTCTTCAGATCCTATAAGGGGACAAAGCAAAAAATACATGTATGTGTACACTAACATGTGTATAGACATATTTTATAAATAATTCTATATGTAACTGTTCATATATACATGAAATTAAATAAATTCCCAGTGAGATAGGTAACCTTAATCCATATTACCAAATGTATCATACTACTTTCTACCTCTTGTGTATCTACAACATCCGACTCCAACCGTGAGAACCTGACTCATAGTGTAAGCCAACTTTTTTCTTAATTCTTCAATTTCAGTATACATCTGTAGTAGTAGCAGAAATGTTAACTCATATTTCTACAGAAAACAACTTTATCAAATAAATTCCTTATGAGCATTTTAATTTTGCCTTTAATCTTAGAGACTCCATTCATTTCTGAAAATATTTAAATCAGCACTCTTTTCCCAACCCATTTAGTGGGGTTGTTTCCTATACTTGCAATAAAACTAAATTATCTTGTCACAGTCTACATTGTTTCCTGTTATCCCACAACTTCCTTTTTGTTTGTTTGTTTTTTGTTTTTTGTTTTTTGTTTTTGAGATGGAGTCTCACTCTGTTGCCTAGGCTGGAGTGCAGTGGCGCCATCTCACCTCACTACAACCTCCACCTCCCAGGTTCAAGGGATTCTCCTGCCTCAGCCTCCCAAGTATCTGGGACTACAGGTGCACACCACCACACCCAGCTAATTTTTGTATTTTTAGTAGAGACGGGGTTTCTCTATGTTGGCCAGGCTGGTCTCCAACTCCTGACCTCGTGATATGCCTGCCTCGGCCTCCCAAAGTGCTGGGATTACAGGCATGAGCCACTGCACCTGGCCTATCCCATGACTTTCTATGTAATTTTTAAAAATTTGTTTTCATTAAGGTTCTTTTTTATTTTCTATATTTCTACATTTCTTGACAAATGCATAGTGTCAAATATCCTTATTTACAGTATCATACGAAATAGTCGTACTCTTTAAACATTTCCTGTGCTTCACTTATTCTCAGCCTTTAGTAATTATTTGATCTTTTATTATCCCATTAGTTTTGCCTTTTCTAGAACATAATATAAATGGAATCATATAGCACATAGCCTTGTAAGCTGGCTATTATACATTTAAGTTTTTTCCTGTTATTTTTTGGCTTGATAGCACAGATTGTTGATGCAATGAAATATTTTTCAACAATCTGAGCTATCAAGCCAAACAATAACCTGGAAAAACCTTAAAAGTATATTAGCCAGTTGACAGGGCTACATGCTATAGATTCCATCTATATTATATTCCAGTTTATTTATCTGTTCACCTATTGAAGGACTTCTTGGTGTATTCCTGTTTTGGGTAATTATTCATAAAACTACTACAAACTTCTACCTGCAAGTTTTAGTGTGAACATAGATTTTAAACCATTGTATAAGAACCTCAGGGCATGATTGTCAAATTGTATGGTGACATGTTTAACTATGTTGGAAGCTGCCATATTGTCTTTGACAGAGGATATACTATTTTATTAACACACGCTCATCAGCAATAAGTAGGAGCTCCTTTAGAAGCTCCAATTATCCCTGCATTATTTGAGGAAAAGCCATCATTTCTCCATTGAGTTGCCTTTGCTTCTTCGTCAAAGATCACTTGACTGTATTAGTATGGTTCTATTTCTGAGCTTTGTACTCTGTTCCATGGGCCTATTATTTCATTAATACAATGACTCCTTAGCTACTGTAGCTTTATGGTAAATCTTTAAGTTGAATAGTATAAGTCTTCCAGCTTTGCTCTTCTTTAATATTGTGTTGACTACTCCAGATCTTTTGCTCTTGCACATAAGCTTTATAATAAGTTTGTTGATAATAAAAATTAGTCTGCTGAAATTTTTATTGGGATTAAGTTGAAGTTTTAGATAAATTCGGAAAGAAATGGCATTTTAAGAATATTGAGCCTTCCAATATATGAACACAAGATCTTTTCATTTACTTGGGTAGTCATCAATTACTTTTAAAAGAGCTTTGTAGTTTTCCATGTCGAGTTTCTGTACATATTTTGTTACATTTATACATATTTTAGAGTCATTATAAATAAATATGGTCTTAATTTAAATTGCTCATTGCTGGTATATGGGAAAGAAATTTACTCTCTATATTAATCTTATATCCTGTGTAAAATTGAGATAATCATTTATTTCCAGAACTTTTGTCAAATCTCTGGGATTTTCTACATAAACAGGTATGTCATCTGCATGCAAAGATAGTTTTATTTAGTTTTCCCAATGTGTATATTTAATTTTTCTCTCATTGTATTAGCTAGGATTTATAGTATATTGTTGAATAGTAATGATGGAGAGAATTTTGAATATAATTTTATCTTATTGTGGTAAGAACCCAGCATGAGACCCGCCTTTTTAACAAACTTAAAGTGTACAATACAGTATTGTTGACTATAGGTACAATGTTATATAACACATCTCTAGAAATCATTCTTCTTGCTTAACTGAAATATTTTGCCCATTGATTGATGAGTAACTCCCCATTTCCTCTATCCCCAGGCCCTATAAGCTACCATTCCACTCTGATTCTATGAATTTGAGTATTTTAGACACCTCATATATGTGAAATCATGCAGTATTTATCTTTCTGTGACTAGCTTATTTCGCTTACTGTGTTTTTACTTTAATTTCATTTTACTATGGCCTCAAGGTTCATCAATGCTGTCATATATTATGAAATTTCCTTCATGTTAAAGGCTAAAAAATATCCCATTGTATGTATACACCATATTTTCTTTATCCAGTCATCTGTCAAAGAACATTTGAATTGTTTCCATATCTTGGCTATTTGTGAGAAATTGTGAGAAAAAAAATTGCCAGTTTGTGAGAAAAAGAAATAAAAAGACCTCCAAATCAGAAAGGAAGAAGTAGAATTGTTTCTGTTTACAAGTGGCATGGTCTCGTATAATGAAACTTTAAAGACTCCGTTAAAAAATGTTAGAACTAACAAATGGATTTAGTAAAATTGCAGGATACAAAATTAAAACATAAAAAAATTGTGTTTCTGTGCATTAACAATAAACTATTTTAAAATAAAATTAGAAAACCAATTTCATTAACAAACAATAAATTAATTAGAAACAAACTACAGAGATGAAGGACTTATATATTAAAAACTATGAAACATTAATAAAATAAATTTTAAAAGACACAAGAAAATGAAAAGACATCATGTGTTCACAGATTTAAAAACTAATATTTTTTAAATGTGCATATTTTTCAAAGCAATCCACAATGTTGTCATCACCAAAACTTCAATGGTATTTTTTACAGAAAAAAAAAGAAGAAATTTTATAATCAACATGCAACCACAAAAATCATAAATAGCCAAATCAATCTAGAGAAAGAAAAACAAAACAGTGGTTATCTCACTTCCTGATTGCGAAATATAATACAAAGCTACAGAAACCAAAATGGTGAGGCAATATTTGCTTTGTTCTCAATATTAGAGGAAAGCATCTAATTTATCACAGTTAAATATAATATTTACTATTGATTTTTTGTAGGTGTTCTTAATCACATTGAGCAAGTTCCCCTATATTGTCAGTTTGCTAAGTGTGATTATCATAACTGGAAGTTATATTTTGTCAAAACTTTTCCTGCATCAATTGATATGATTGTATGATTTTTCTTCTTTAGTCTGTTGATTTGGTGAATTACATTAAATGATTTGTGAATGTTGAACCAGTCTTGCATACGTGAAATAAATCCCACTTGACCATGAAATATAATTATTTTGATATATTGGTGGATCCAATAAGTTAGTATCTTTTGAGAAGTTTTGCATCTAGGTTCATGAGAGATACTGGTTTGTACTTTTCCTTTCTTGTAATGTTTGTGTCTACTTTTGGCATTAGGGTAATTTTTGCCTCATAGAATGAGTGGAAAGTCTTCATTCTACTTGTAGTTTCTAGGATGGTTTGTGGAGAATTGGTATCATTTATTCTTTAAATGTTTGGTAAAATTTACCTCTTAAAATCATTTGTTCCTGATGCTTTCTTTTCAGAAAGATTATTAATTTTGGTTTAATTTATTTAATAGATATTGGTGTTTTCAGATTATATATTTCTCCTACATGAGTTTGGAAGTTTGTGTTATTCAATAAGTTAATCAATTTCATCAAAGTTTTAAAATTGTAGTGTCCATGGAATAAACAGTGATGGCCTCATGGAATCAAAAAGATACCCTCTTTTTTAGTTCTTTTGTTTGTTTGTTTTTTGTTTTTGTTTTGGCTTTGGTTTTTTTGAGACAAGGTCATGCTCTGTTGCCCAGGCTGGAGTGCAGTGTCATGATCTTGGCTCACTGCAACCTGTACAGCCTGGCTCAAGTGATTCTTGCACTTCGGTCTACAGAGTAGCTAGGACTACAGGCACATGCCAGCATGCCCAGCTAATTTTTGTATATTTTGTAGAGATGGTCTTTGGCCACGTTGCCCAGGTTTCTCTCCAAACTCCTGACCTCAAGCGACCCACTCGCCTGGGCCACTCAAAGTGTTGGGATTATAGGCGTGAGCCACCACACTCTGCCCTCTTTTTCATTTCTGATATCGGTAAACTGTATCTTTTCTCCTTTTTCCGCTGGTTAAATTGACCAAAAGTATATCAGTCTTCTCAGTTTACCAATTTATTAATTATATTGAAATTTTCTAAGAAACAGCATTTGGTGCTTCTCTTAAATTCACGTTTTTTTTTGTTTTGTTTTGTTTTGTTTTCAGATATCTAGATGAGGGTTTGTACTAGGACCCTAATTCTCTGATGGTCCGAGAAAAGCTGTCAATTTTCAGGTTGTTCATCTTTTCTCTTCTTTTAATGTTCAGCATGGAATTTTCAAGCTTTTTACATATCAAAATTGAAACTAAGTCTATGTCTGAATTTAAATATATATATGTATACATATATATGTCTTAAAATATTTTTCTTGTGCTCTTGTTACTTTTTAAAATAGCATTCTGTTCTCATTTATGATTTCAATTTCTCCTTGTGGACTTTTTAAATGACTATCTTTAAAAAAACATATTCTGCTTCTGAAATTATTTTTATTTATTTTGGTCACATATTTTATTTTTTAAACGTTTGTTTATCCTTTTTTTAATTTTGTATTTTTTTAAGTTCTGTTGATCCAGAATGGGCCATTCGTATTTAACAATGATGCCTGCAACTATGGGAGAGAAATTCCATATGTGGGCAGAATCTGTTCAATGTTATTCTTTATTTTCTTTGCTGGAGCTTAGGGCTGGTTGTTTTGCTGGGCAGAAATTCACTCCTCTAAGGTGCATTTGACATTTTTAAGAAAAAGTGTTGACTCATAGTTTCTTGACATTCTGAATATAAAGTAAGATAGATAAATTGGTGGTTTAAATGCTTTGCGTAACTTCAATTAATTTCCTTGGCTTTCAACCTCATGACTTGCCTCTAACATTCCTGGTGTTTCCAAATCGAAAGCTTCCCAAGCATATTTGGGCAGGATTACTGAATATTCTAACCTGCAGCTTCTGCCAACTTATTTTATCAGTTGGCATTCCTCTCTCTTCATTTAGTGTTCTCACAATCTGTTGAAATCTTTTCTGATTTTTTTTTCCTTTCCAATTCTTTTTACTATTTTAAGCCCATGTGCTTTCTGTAATATCATTTAATCATATTTAGGAAAAAGGTAAAAGAGAAAAATGTGTATACAGCAAGCCTTATTTAATTGGAGTTCCCACCTGAAGTGCTTCAAATAAAATTTAATATAAATTTAAGTTATTTTGAAAGATTCTAAAGATTATTACTTATTTATAATATTGTCATATTTGACAGTTCACTAAATAGTGCAGAGAAAGCCTCAGAAGCCCAGATTATTTTTCTAACAACATTGACTTCCAAAAGGGAGGAAGTGTGGTGATTGTTCCTTAATTGTTACATTTTGTGATCTACTGATTATTTTTAAAGACAGCAATCTTTATACTTTTCCAAGTAAAAATGTTTTAAAATAAAAAAGTCTATTACAGCAATATTTTTATAAATGTAGACATTTTATTATGAATGCAGAAGAAAGATGTAAACTCCTAATAATGATCAAAAGAGATAGTGCCAGGTCTTACATATAATCTTTCTGGGTTCATACAGTTGTTGTCTGAAGTTGGGAAACAATTGCCTAGCAAAATTATTGAAAATGATCATATAACACAGTAGCCCTTAAGAAGCACTTTATAAGGCATATGTGCTTGGCTATGATGAAATTTAACCCAGCCTTTCTAATTCTCATCATTGACTTTATTAAATAGCCCCAATAACTCTGCTGAGAAACATTTAATCATGAAAGCCAGATCTGTATGAAACATTATAGCATAATTCACATTTTAATGCTGACTAGACCACTGGCAATTACAAGCAGCACCCAGAGATAGATAACACATAATTTATGCATTTAAAAATGTTTTGTTAAGCAAAAATTGACAAATAGGATCTAATTAAACTAAAGAGTTTCTGCACAGGAAAAGAAACTATTCATATCAACAGAGTAAACAGACAACCTATAGAATGGGAGAAAATTTTTGCAATCTATCCATCTGACAAAGGCCTAATATCTAGCACCTATAAGGAAAGTAAACAAATTTACAAGAAAAAAACAAACAACCTCATTAAAAAATGGCAAAGGACATGAACATACTCTTCCTCTTCTCAAAAGAAGATATACATGCGGCCAACAAACATATGAAAAAAAAGAAGCTCAACATCACTGATCATTAGAGAAATACAAATCAAAACTACAATGAGATACCATCTCACACCTGTCAGAATGGCTGTTATTAAAAAGTCCAAAAACAACAGATGTTTGTGAGGTTGTAAAGAGAAAGGAATGCCTTTACACTCTTGGTGGGAGTATAAGTTAGTCCAACCATTGTGGAAGACAGTGTAGCAATTTCTTAAAAACCTGGAGGCAGAAATAGCATTTGACCCAACAGTCGCATTACTGGATATATGCCCAAATGACTATAAATCTTTCTATTACAAAGATACATGCACACATATGTTCATTGCAGCACTATTCACAATAACCAAGACATGGAATCAACCTAAATGCCCATCAATGACAGACTGGGTAAAGAAAATGTGGTGCACATACACCATGGAATATTATGCAGCCATAAAAAGAAATAAGATCCTGTCCTTTTTGGGGCCATAGATGGAGCTGTAGGCTATTATTATTAGCAAACTAACGCAGGGACAGAAAACCAAACAGAGCATGTTCTTGCTTATTAGTAGGAGCTAGATAATGAGAATATACGGACACATAGTGGGGAACAACACACACTGGGGCTTACTGGGTGTGGGGTGGGGCATGGGAAGAGCTAGAGGAACCGGAAGAATAGCTAATGGATGCTGGGCTTAATACCTAGATGATGGGGTGATCTGTGCAGCAAACCACCATGGCACATGTTTATGTAACAAACCTGCACATCCTACACATGTACCCCTGAACTTAGAAGAAAAGTTGGTTTGTAGTTCTCCTTGAAGAGGCCCTTCAAATCTCTTGTTAGCTGTATTCCTATGTATTTTATTCTCTTGGTAGCAATTGTATATGGGAGTTCATTCATGATGTGGCTCTCTGCTTGTCTGTTGTTGGTGTAAAGGAATGCTTGTGATTTTTGCACATTGATTTTGTATCCTGAGACTTTGCTGAATTTGCTTATCAGTTTAAGGAGTTTTGGGGCTGAGATGATGGGGTTTTCTAAATAGAAAATCATGTCACCTGCAAACAGAGACAATTCGACTTCCTCTCTTCCTATTTGAATATGCTTTATTTCTTTCTCTTGCCTGATTGCCCCGGCCAGAACTTCCAATGCTACATTTAACGGGAGTGGTGAGAGAGAGCTTCCTTGTCGTGTACCAGTTTTCATTCAAAGAGAAAGCTTCCAGTTTTTTCCCAGACACCCATTCAATATGTTATTGACTGTGGGTTTGTCATAAATAGCTCTTATTGTTTTGAGATAGCATTCATCAATACCTACTTTATTGACGGTTTGTAACATGAAGAGATGTTGGATTGTATCAAAGGCCTTTTCTGCATTTATTGAGATAATCATGTGGTTTTTGTCTTTGGTTCTGTTTATGTGATGGATTATGTTTACTGATTTGCATATGTTGAGCCAGCCTTGCATCCCATGGATGAAGCTGACTTGATCGTAGTGGATAAGCTTTTTTACTTTCTGCTGGATTCGGTTTGCCAGTATTTTATTGAGGATTTTTGCATCCATGTTCATCAGGGATATTGGCCTGAAATTTTCTTTTTTTGTTGTGTCTCTTCTCTGTTTTGGAATCAGGATTATGCTGGCTAAACTAAGCTTTACATATTTTAAGTTCTCAATTTGTTCTTTAAAAGTATGTAATTGCTATAAAAATAATAGAGAATTCAGAAAAAATGTTTTAACAAAATGCTAATATCTTTTGCAATTATATTTAAATGCAACAGGGATGCTATTTGAAATAAGAAAAAAAAACAAACAACCCCATCAAAAAGTGTGCAAAGCATATGAACAGACACATCTCAAAAGAAGATATTTATTTGACCAACAAACATATGAAAAAAGCTTGACATCACTGATCTGAGAAATGCAAATCAGAACCACCATCAGAAACCATCTCACACCAGTCAGAATGGCTATTATTAAAAAGTCAAGAAACAATATATCCTGGCAAGGCTGTGAGAAATAGGAACGCTTTACGCCGTTGGTGGGAATGTAAATTAGTTCAACCATTGTGGAAAAGAATATGGTGATTCCTCAAGGATCTAGAACCAGAAGTATCATTTGACCCAGCAATCCCATTACTGGGTATATCCTCAAGGATTATAAATCATTCTACTATAAAGACACATGTACACATATGTTTACTGCAGCACTATTTATAATAGCAAAGTCATGGAACCAACCCAAATGCCCATCAATGATAGGCTGGATAAAAAATATGTTGTACATATATACCTTGGAATACTATGCAGCCATAAAAAGGAATGAAGTCATGTCCTTTGCAGGGACATGGATGAAGCTGGAAGCCATCATCCTCAGCAAACTAACACAGGAACAGAAAACCAAACACTGCATGTTCTCACTCATAATTGGGAGTCGAACAATGAGAACACATGGACACAGGGAAGGGGAACATCACACACCAGGACCTGTTGGGGGTGGGAGTGAGGGGAGGGAACTTAGAGGACAAGTCAACAGGTGCAGCAAACCACCATGGCACACGCATACCTATGTAACAAACCTGCACTTTCTACACATGTATCCTGGAACTTAAAGCAAAATTTTTAAAAAGTTGGAAATGTAAAAAAATTAACATGTTTTGTTTTTGCCTTTTTATTATTGTTATGTTTAATCCACTGAAAAACAACCTGAAAACAAAACTATTGCATACCAAACACTTTTAAAAAACTAGGTCATTTTCTATGTATCAGTCAGATTCTTGAAGTCAATACAAACAACAAAAAATATGTTTCTGGAAGGAGACTTAAAAAATGTTAATGGACAACCTTGGTATTGAAAGCATTTATTTCACTTATATACACATTTTAAAAATGAAACAGCTGCAATTTATCCTGCAATCAGTTCCAATATCTTATTGTTTTTGTGTAGCTCTTAATTTTAAATTAAAATTGATTTGCAGCCACAAAATTAAATGCCAAATTGATAAGTGTATCTGAAGTATTTCTATAAACAATAAAAATTTTAAAAAACGACTGACGAAAGTTAAATGCTGTCTAAACTAAGTTTTGCCTGTTTTAAGGTCTCAATTTGTTCTTTAAAAATATGTAATTGCTATAAAAATAATAGAGAATTCAGAGAGAAAATGTTTTAACAAAATGCTAATATCTTTTGTAATTATATTTAAATGCAACAGGGATGCTATTTGAAATTAGAATAAAATTTAGTTATCCTAATTTATGAGTTCAAATCGAATTTTAAAATCTATAAGCTTGCCTACAAAAATGGTTTCAAATATTTTTGTAAGAAATGTTTAATTACTTATTTTAGAAATTGTGTGATACAGATTTAACTTATAATACTATTTCTAGCCCCAAATTGTTTAAGTGAATTTGATAAACTAGATTATTATGTATAACCATTTCTTTCAGTTAATGGTACTGGAGCAGATGATCATGTATTAATAAAGTTGCCCATGACAAAATCCTGGCCCTTCCGACCCCCTAAGCCAGAATTCTTTCTGTCATTGTTTCAGGCTTCAAAATGGTGAGAAGATAATGAGAAAAGGAAAGAATCTATGGATAAGAAGTAAGGAGAAAATCGTTGACAATTGTCAAAATCTTGCCTCATTACTTCTCCAGGAATGATGTCTATCCTTTTCTTCAAACACATTCTGTATTCTAGGAATTCTGAATTATTTTGGATTAGCCAAACTCACTATAAACTCTACTGTAAGTATTTTCAAATACCTTACTTAAATAGGAACATTTATCCTTCTGGCCACTTTTATGGGCTATTTCTTCTTTACCTATCATGACATTTTTGCCATTTCTAAAGATCACCAGAACTAAGATTGGTACCTTTCCCGTGTAATCATTTCAAAGCTAATCATGACATGCAAAATATTATTTAGTTATTTGTTTTCAGAAGAGTTGTCTTGTACTCAGAGATGGTATTCTAAAGTCAGTATGTAAAAAAAAAAATCTAACGTCAATATTACCCTTGAAAATCACTGAACTGCAAATAAAGAGACTCTCTACCACTTAAGCCATTATGTATGAAATGACATGTGTAAGATCTAAAATTAATCAGTGTTAGGAAAGGAAATTTCCTAGCTTGAACTTTTATAATGTTAAATATAGTAGGTTTTTTCATTGTAAAAATATATAATATTAAGGTATAATTCACATGGAGTAAAATTAATCCTTGCTGGTATATATTTCTGAATGTTTGGCAAAGCATATAATCATGTAACTGGCAACACAATCATGATGTAGAACAAATTCATCATACTGAACAATTGGCTTCAGGCACTTTTGCTTCAAACCATCCTCCAAAACACAACCATTATAAACAGCTATTCTGTTGTCTGCCCCTATAGTTTTGCCTATAACACAATATAAAATGAATAATATCATATTGTATATTGACATTAGTGTATGGACTCTTTAATTTATTATAATGCATTTGTTTTTTTGTTTGTTTATTTTATTTTTTTATTATTATAGTTTAAGTTTTAGGGTACATGTGCACAATGTGCAGGTTAGTTACATATGTATACATGTGCCATGTTGGTGTGCTGCACCCATTAACTCGTCATTTAGCATTAGATATATCTCCTAATGCTATCCTTCCCCCCTCCCCCCACCCCACCACAGTCCCCAGAGTGTGATGTTCCCCTTCCTGTGTCCATGTGTTCTCATTGTTCAATTCCCACCTATGAGTGAGAACATGCAGTGTTTGGTTTTTTGTCCTTGCGATAGTTTACTGAGAATGATGATTTCCAATTTCATCCATGTCCCTACAAAGGACATGAACTCATCATTTTTGATGGCTGCATAGTATTCCATGGTGTATATGTGCCACATTTTCTTAATCCAGTCTATCATTGTTGGACATTTGGCTTGTTCCAATTCTTTGCTATTGTGAATAGTGCTGCAATAAACATACGTGTGCATGTGTCTTTATAGCAGCATGATTTATAATCCTTTGGGTATACACCCAGTAATGGGATGTCTGGGTCAAATGGTATTTCTAGTTCTAGATCCCTGAGGAATCGCCACACTGACTTCCACAATGATTGAACTAGTTTACAGTCCCACCAACAGTGTGAAAGTGTTCCTATTTCTCCACATCCTCTCCAGCACCTGTTGTTTCCTGACTTTTTAATGATTGCCATTCTAACTGGTGTGAGATGGTATCTCATTGTGGCTTTGATTTGCATTTCTCTGATGGCCAGTGATGGTGAGCATTTTTTCATGTGTTTTTTGGCTGCATAAATGTCTTCTTTTGAGAAGTGTCTGTTCATGTCCTTCGCCCACTTTTTGATGGGGTTGTTTGTTTTTTTCTTGTAAATTTGTTTGAGTTCATTGTAGATTCTGGATATTAGCCCTTTGTCAGATGAGTAGGTTGTGAAAATTTTCTCCCATTTTGTAGGTTGCCTGTTCACTCTCATGGTAGTTTCTTTTGCTGTGCAGAAGCTCTTTAGTTTAATTAGATCCCATTTGTCAATTTTGGCTTTTGTTGTCATTGCTTTTGGTGTTTTAGACATGAAGTCCTTGCCCATGCCTATGTCCTGAATGGTAATGCCTAGGTTGTCTTCTAGGGTTTTTATGGTTTTAGGTCTAACGTTTAAGTCTTTAGTCCATCTTGAATTAATTTTTGTATAAGGTGTAAGGAAGGGATCCAGTTTCAGCTTTCTACATATGGCTAGCCAGTTTTCTCCGCACCAAAAGTAGATAAAACCACAAACATTGGGAAAAAACAGAGCAGAAAAACTGGAAACTCTAAAAAGCAGAGCGCCTCTCCTCCTCCAAAGGAATGCAGTTCCTCACCAGCAACGGAACAAAGCTGGACAGAGAATGACTTTGACGAGTTGAGAGAAGAAGGCTTCAGACGATCAAACTACTCCGAGCTACAGGAGGAAATTCAAACCAAAGACAAAGAAGTTAAAAACTTTGAAAAAAATTTAGACGAATGTATAATTAGAATAACCAATACAGAGAAGTGCTTAAAGGAGCTGATGGAGCTGAAAGCCAAGGCTCAAGAACTACGTGAAGAATGCAGAAGCCTCAAGAGCCAATGTGATCAACTGGAAGAAAGGGTATCAGTGATGGAAGATGAAATGAATGAAATGAAGCGAGAAGGGAAGTTCATAATGCATTTGTTTTCTCCTGTATTGGTGCTTCACTACTTTCATTGTTGAAGAGTGTTGTAGCACAGTCACTTTTTTCTTTGTTTTTGTTTTTTATCAATTCAGCAATTGAAGGATATTTGTGTTGTTTCTAGTTCAGTGTGATTCCTAGTAAAGCCGTTATAAATATTGGCATACAAATTTCTATCTGAACAAAAGTTATCCTTTCTCTTTGAGAAACAACCTGAGGTGGGATAGCCATGTCATAAAGTAAGCATATGAGAAAGACATTATCTGATTTATACTTTTAAAAGGCATTCTGAGATTTCAGGATTCCAGTATGAAGAAAATCTCGTAATTTGAGACTCTTATCCATATAACAAGAAAAAAAACAAAAAACCAACAAACTGAAAAACAACAAATTTTCTAGGAACCATTAGAAGTCACATAGTGATTCCCTTCCAGAGATCATATAATGGAAAGAGGAACAAAAAGAACTTTACAGTGGGGAAACTTGACAAAAGTGATAATTCAGGTGTGACACAACAAGTGAATAGTTTATATGCTTGATAAGATGTGATGAAAATGACATTTCACCTCTGTAGTCTTCCATAACATTCACGATGTCATAGGATATGTAGCACTTGGAGACTTATGTGAATTAGATGTATCAGAATCATGAGAATGGATGAGAGATCCTCTTGGAAAAGTAAAAAGAAGACAAAGGAAAGAGATTGTAAGTTAAACCATTAGAAAACACCAACAACAACATTTCCTTCTCGATAATAAAATTGAAGTGATCTTTAATTTGTGTAACTAGACTAATAGCCTCTGAGGTTGTTCTCAGCTTCAGGGCCTCCCATACCTTTTCTGTTCTAAGTAAATAATTAAATCCCATCAGGATTGGTTCTTGCTTGAGTTCCCTTACAACCCATTAACGTTAGCATTTGTTTATAACTCTGGTGAACTACCTTTGAGTATCTAATTATAGCTTACTTACTCATTGATCCCAGAAGAATCTGGACCATAGCATGATTTTCTGTTTCCAGTGTAAACATATTTCATCTATTGTGACTTTGCAGAGATCTGAAGGCTGTATTATTTTTATAAGTTGTTGACTATGGCAAGTGCTTTCAAGCCTCAGGCTTCTGAAGGCATTCTAAATAGAAAATAGTTTCTACTCTGAAAAACTGTGAGGAACACTAATACTGAAAAACTTTGGCTTAATAGCATATGGAGCAAATTTGCCCTAAAAGTATATGGAGGGAAAAGTACTTGTGTTACCATAATACATATTCTCAAGATAAGGCTAGACATAGTTAGATATCGAGCTAATTGTTATCTACAACACAAAATTTATTCATCAATGTGTATTTTTTAAATCAAATATTACAAAGAACATTTGTGTGCACTGGTCTTTTTAAAAACATAATTCTGCCATTGATCAGCTCAGAAGCTACTGCTAGAAAGGTGTATTTTGTGTCTGATATAGCCCTACAGCCATATAAGCAGTTTCTTTCTCTTGAGATGTTTTATTCCGCAGGACAAATGTTATGGCTTCTAGCTATTCAATCACCACTATATTTTAAACAAACAGCTATCCCTAAGTAGGTAAGCCCTACAGCACTTAGATATAAAATGTATGCAACTACTTGGTAAGTGAAAGATTTAAAGAAAGTAGTGCAAACTCCGGTATAGATTTCCATTTTAAATGAATCAACTTTACTGCAGCAGCAGTGAGATGTGAGCTCTATCCAGAGCTTTTTGTTAGCCTTTCGTAGTTACATTCATTTTCCCTGCTAACTCTGATGAAGCAAAAGCTAGAATACAAATTTGCATATAAAAGTAAGTGATAACATTTCGTTCTACCAAAAAACCTATCAAATGAGAGAGTGTTCTATAATTCTGTGTTTGAAACCAACTCTGGTGGTAAAGGGATGGCTAAAAGCTAACTCAAGCCTCTAGCACATAAATCAAACCTAAATTATTCTTCTAAGCTTCCTTGAAAGGCTCTAATCAAATTGCTCCAAATTATTGTTTATTTGATTTATTCTTCCCAATGAATTGACTATAAATTCTTATTATGTAAATATAAATTGAGCAGTATATTTTGATATTAATGCTCTAAGTCATTAGGTCTACTTTCACTAAAGATTTGCTTTTTGACTTTCAGTTAAATATTTATTTTACTCTTTTTTCAAATATTTATTCTTTTGATACTGATATTTTTGCTTGCCTTTATATAGCCAGAAATGTCCATCATATTTCAGGTTTCTAAGTACTTATTCATTGAGGACCTATTATAGGCACTAGTGGGTGATTTAGCTTAGTATTCTCTGTCTCTTTCTCTCTCTGTGTATGTATGTATGTGTATGTAAACATATATATGTATAGTAGTATCTATCTATGTGGTTCCTTTATGCTACTCAAAATGTAGCAAAATCATGAAAAAATATCCAAAAAATTTCTAATAATTTAATATAATTTCCTCTTCAGATATTGCCAAAAGGAATTTTATTTTTACCTTGTCTACTTAATAATTATAGAAATAAAAATTAATATGTGCCAAAGAAAATAATTTTATTCTTCCAAAGATGACTAAGATACAAATAGATAAACACATTCAGATATGCAAATATTCATGCAGATTAATTTGGCAGATTGGAAAGCAAAATAAAAAATCTGAGTACTGCTTTAATAGCTGCATTCTAATTTCTTAAATATTATGAACACTTGATGAGAAAAATGATAATTATAAAAGTCATTTCTTCCCGCATTTCTAACTTACATTTTTCTTTCTGGCTCTGAATATTACCATATATGTGCTATCACAAAGATTTAGTAAAAATGTAGTAAAAGGCACAAGATTCTTTCATCATTTAAATGTAAGTCTTATATGACACGTTGTTTCAAAAACTTTCAAAGAACTACTTCAAACGTTGTGGGAGCTAGTTCAAATTGATGTTAAGTTTCAAAAGATTATGGATTTGCTTAATCATTTTATTGTATACTTGTTAATAATTAGGCAACATTTGGACATAGAAAGGAAGGTAATCAGTCCACTCTCATGGACTATCTTGAAGTAATTATGACACTCTTTCACAAAATACAAACAAAACCTACAGGAGATTCAGTCGATATAAACTTTAAGTCTACATCTAGGTGTCTAAAAGGTAAATTTAATTAAACCCAAATATCATTCAACCACAAATAACATAAAATCAAATTCACATTGAAAGTGCTTTTATTTGGCTGTGTTTTAATATTAATCTTTGATTTTCAATTTTGTTTCTTTTTCCCTTACTATGTCATTAATAACATCTACCAAACTTGAGGGACACTATTTTTGAACATTTGCTTCTTGGTCATTTAGTTCTCAGACAGAATAAAAGGGAAAATTAATTTTGAATAAATACTAGGAAAGCGTACATGCATATGTTAAGTTTTCCTTAGTTTATTTGTATGATAATTTCTTAGTTTTTGCCATGGCATGAACATTTGAAATGGTAACTTTATTATAGCTATGAAATTAGCATAAAGGCAGTATAGGAGGATTTATAGCAGAATACTTAAAGAATCTTTGAGACTGATCATGAGGTGAGTTCATATTCTGGCCTTCCAAATTATTAATGGGAATTCAATGGGAAATTCATTTATCTTCTACAAGTCTAAATTTTTACAATATAAAAAAGGAGATAAGATAGTTTTAAGTAAAATAAATTAAAAATATATAAAATGTTATAGAATTAGGGTGGGTATGTAGTAAGCTGTGAATAAACATTACTTATAATAGTCACATCATTTTATTCAGATGTATTAAGAATCTCTTTTAAGCTTTAAAAAATGAATAAGACAGACTAATGGCAACATGGAAAGGATGAAGAGGTATATTATAAATATTAAACAGAAGAACCAGTTTATTTGCATTTGCGCTAAGATACTATAAAGAATATGCCTTTATGTAATACAAGCTAAATTAAAAGCAATGCTACTTAAATAGGATGGTCAAGGATGGTTTCTTAAAAATGTTTCATAACAATAATAATAGCATGATAATGATAATGATGATACTAATTTTAAAATAATAATAGATAAGTATTAAATGTTTCTAAGTATATTTACTGGGAATTTATATATGTTATTTTATTTATTTATAATATATCCCCTGCTGGGTAATTTATTATTATTCACATTTTATTGAGACCTTATATAACTTACCTGAAATCCAAAAATGTTGGCTGCTAGATTTGGATATGTAAATATAGACCTGATAATGAACAAAATAGAAAAATAATAAATCAATAAAAATACAAAACAGCTTTAAAAACTATGATGTCAGACTTCCAAGAAATTAAATTCCACAATGGTCAATATGATCCAAAGACCTAACTCTGTGCAGGAATACATGCATGTAATAGGAGTGAATTGTTTGATGCATGTCTTCCTTTACTTTTCTTACCTGTACTGATTTACCTCTGTTTCCTCTACCTCATTCTTTCTTTCTACCATACTCCTTTATATTTACTCACAACACATTACTGGGGAACATTTTAGGATTACATTTCTTTTTTTTTCTATTAATGAAAATTTTATTTTATCAAGTCAACATATATTGAAATCAAAGGTAGGTAGTAATACCTGTGCTCTTAGAGAGGCTTAAAGAAGACTGTTATGAATGCCATTCTTAAGGAAAGATATTTAGGAAGGAGGTGTGGCAAAGAGCTACTCATTATCTAAGGCACCACCTAAAGATTAATGCTATAATCATAGAAAGAAGTTGTCCTAATCAGGATCCAACATTATGTATCAAATACAAGATGGAGTAAGAATATAAGTAATGAGGTTTGAGCTTAGTGAAATGGAGAGGTAAGATGAAAGGTTTGGAGAATTTATACTCGCAAAAGAGAATATTGCCATAGTATCGCTTTTACATAGCACCTGGTGCCTGAAATGAAGTAGGTGAGTGCTACTGCAAAAACGATACTGTCCTGAAAAATAATTTATTCATAAACCATGAATTGTAATATTTATGTAAACTAAACATTTCAATAAATTATAGTAGTTCTGTAGGATTAGTGGTGATATCCCCTTTATCATTTTTTATTGTGTCTATTTTATTCTTCTCTCTTTTCTTCTTTATTAGATTAGCTAGCAGTCTATCTATTTTGTTAATCTTTTCAAAAAAACAGCTACTAGATTCATTGATCTTTTGAAGGGTTTTTCGTGTCTCTCTCCTTCAGTTCTGCTCTGTTCTTAGTTATTTCTTGCCTTCTGCTAGCTTTTGCATTTGTTTGCTCTTGCTTCTCTACTTCTTTTAACTGTGATGTTCGGGTGTCAATTTTAGATCTTTCCTGCTTTCTCCTATAGGCATTTAGTGCTATAAATTTCCCTCTAAACACTGCTTTAGCTGTGTCCCAGAGATTCTGGTACATTGTGTCTTTGTTCTCATTGGTTTTAAAGAACTTATTTATTTCTGCATTAATTTCATTATTTACCCAGTAGTCATTAAGGTGATCATTAAAAAGTCAGGAAACAACAGATACTAGAGAGGATGTAGAGACATAGGATGGCTTTTACACTGTTGGTGGGAGTATAAATTAGTTCACCCATTGTGGAAGACAGTGTGGCGATTCCTCAAGGATCTAGAACTAGAAATACCGTTTGACCCAGCAATCCCATTATTGGTTATATACCCAGAGGATTATAAGTCATGCTGCTATACAGACACGTGCACATGTTAGTTTATTGCAACAGCGTTCACAATAGCAAAGACTTGGAACCAACCCATCAATGATAGACTGGATAAAGAAAATGTGGCACATATACAACATGGAATACTATGCATCCTTAAAAAAACCATATCATTTGCAGGGACATGAATGAAGCTGGAAACCATCATTCTCAGTAAACTAACAGGAACAGAAAACCAAACACCACATGTTCTCACTCATAAGTTGGAGTTGAACAATGAGAACACATGGACACAGGGAGGGGAACATCACACATACCGGGGGCCTGTCAGGGGTTGAGGGGCAAGGGGAAGGATAGCATTAGGAGAAATACCTAATGTAGATGGCAGGTTGATGGGTGCAGCAAACCACCATGGCATGTGTATACCTTTGTAACAAAGTTGCATGTTCTGCACATGTATCCCAGAACTTAAAGTGTAATAATAATTTTAAAAAGCTTAAAATAATTACAGTAGAAGAGCTTACAATTTTTTCAAAAGAAATTACCTTTCCTTGTCTTTAATGTTGGCCCATTCTCAAGCCATTCTGGTACTGAAACACTTTTGTTTTTCCCATTTACTATCTTTAGTCTCTTTCAAATTTTATCTATATATTAGATCAGTAGACACATTTTTCTTACAGACTTTTATCTTAATCTGATGACTGGAAAGATTATTGCCATCATTTTGGAGACATGTTTGAAGTTTTTGTTACCTAATACAACAAAAACTAGCATAAGCCAATATCACAGGCATGTAATTATAGCTTACATATAATATTGAGACTCTTTAGTGTTCAGTAATCCTTTGCTTGTAACTGAAAAGACACAGCTTCCTAATTCGTATAAAAAGCTTTAAAATTATCTTTATGATCTTTGTAATCATGTGCTGTATTCAAATGTGAAGACACACATATTGACTTCTTTTGGTATTGCAGAGGATTTTTTATGGGGAGGGCGTTTTCTTTTAGTTATAATTAATGTTTGTATTAGTCTGTTTTGATGGTGCTGACAAAGACGTACCAAAGACTGGAAAGAAAAAACGTTTAATTGGACTTAACAGTTTCACATGGCTAGGGAGGTGTCAGAATCATGGCAGGAGGTGAATCGCACATTTTACATAGCAGCAGAAAAAGAAAATGAGGAGGAAGCAAAAGCAGAAGCACCTGATAAACCCATGAGATCTCGTGAGACTTACTCACTATCACAAGAATAGCACTGGAAAGACAGGCCCCCATGTTTCAATTACCTCCCCCTGGGTCCCTCCCACAATACGTGGGCATTCTGGAAGATACAATTCAAGTTGAGATTTGGGTGGGGGCACAGCAAAACCATATCAATATTCTCTGTTTATTGACCCGTGCTATAGATCTAGTTTTGTCTTTGGTTAAAAGAATTTCTAACGTCTCTCTAAACTATTAAACCATTATGTGGTTTAGACTATTAAACCATTATGTGGTTTAGACTATTACACCACATATTAAAACAATTGACCATCCATAATGATTGTCCCCAATTTGTGGACTCCTTAGCAATGTATTCAAAACAAATAAAGGGACTAGCAACACCTCACTTATATGCCTAGTTTACACTTGACACTAATTTGATGCTTGAAAGCAATCGGTGAATTTCATCCATTAAAAACAAAAAATGGTTGAATCACAGAGAGATCAGTAGAATGATTATTATTCCTAGTGAATTCTTATTGGAGCCATTACAATACAGTTGACAGTATAGGATTTAGAAAATCTAAGTTTTGCTTCTCACTTCCTTATTTTTCAGATATATGGAACTTAAAAGCTGCTATGTGTTCATCTTTAAACATTTAAAGAATGTATTAGGTAGCAATGCTCAGTGCTGAAGATACAAACATAAGCAAAAAACTCTACTCCATAGCCTCTCTATCCTTTCATCACCTCTTGGGAGAGGGATAGATAAATATGACATCATAACAAAACACGTGTAATGTAAATGTATTACAAAGATTGTGTAAATGAAGCATTTATGAATATTCTATTAACTATTCGATTTCCCACTGTAGCTAGCACTTATAAAGAATTTGATAAGTAACTAGATAAATGAATCAGAAAATAAATCTATTGTTCAAATTTCATCAGAATGAATTAATGAGTGATAAGTTCTCCTTGAAGAAAGACTGAGGATAAATCAGCTTAAACATGAATAAAATTTTAACAGGTAAAGAAGGCATTCCAAGAGAAGGAACAACGTGAAAAGAAACAAACTCATGAAGGCCTGAGGCATGAGCATGTGTTGAGCATTTGGGAAAGAACAAAGTCATGTTATAAGACCCTATAATGCTTGGCAAAAGATAGTGGCAAGAAAGCTGGGGAAAAAAAGCTGGGATGACATGATAAAGAATTTTATATTTCAGTCAAAATAAATGTCATTTCATTGGAGCTTAATAAACGTGTCAGTTTTTTAATTATTCTTGTTTTCACCTAAAAGTGAAAAAAAATGTAAAATGCTTTGCTCATTTATAAGGTGGTAACAACTACAAAATGGAACAATTAATTGAAATACATATATGAATACCCATTAAACATAAGGGATTTAACTTAAGGCATTAAATTAAATAAAGTAGTTATATTAAGACATCTTTGATTATTGAAGAATAAAATTACTGGGTGCTTAAATATATAAAGCAGTGGCACAGATTCATAAAGATACAGCATGGGAGATGTATTGCAATATTCTATTATTACTTAATACAATGTTTTATATTTCTTATCAGACGATACAGCCAAATCTTTGCTGTTCTAAGGTCATTCTTCAATCATCTTTGCAATAAAAAACTATGTATTATTGGAAGAAAGAACAAGTGCAAAGAGTTTCCCTAAATAGTGCACTTTGCCAAAAATTAATTTTTTAATGAACATTTTTGATTTTTCTAATTTTTAATTAATGGTGTATTGATGTTTGGGAGTGAATAAAAGTCCTTGGTGGCACATAATATAATTCATATCGTGTAAGGCATTGGGCAGAGAGATATTCTCCTTAGGTGAAACAAATAAACATTGAAAGCTAAATATTTTCAAATAAATTCAAAATGTGCAGAGTTAATCCAGTGGAGTTTAGTTACATATATACGGCCCTCAATTATATAGATTAGGTTAACTTTTCAAGAAAATCACCCAATGATATAATTTGTTCTATGTGGAGTAGATTTCTTTGTCATACAAAAATACCAGTACTAAAGAGTAAGATTGTCAAATGTATCTATATAATATCATGATCTTAGGATATTGCTTATGATACATAGTATGGATTCCTATGCCAGGCATTACGGTGTAGTGCTTAAGATTTTGTATTTCAATCACCCACAACTTGATTTGCTACTTAGCCATGATGTTAATTATCTGAGCAAGTTGTGGTTAATTATTTTACTGTATCTGAGTCTCAAGTTCCTTGTCTGAAAATTTGAGATAACAATGCCTACACAAAGAGTGTTAGATATTAAATAATATATGTACCATACTGAGAGATGATGACATATAGTAAGTGTCTAGTAAAGTAGTTATTAAAACAATACAGTATTGGGACACTGTAGCCCAAGTGGGCCTCCAGTGATGTCAAGATGCTCAGGTACCAGACCCCCAGCATTAGCCCCAAGTCTCACAGGGCTGAGCAAGGGTGGGCATTAGGTCACCTGAGCTATCCTGTTAGACCTTGAATGAAATATCCACAAGATGGCAGCAGCTGCGGGTAAGGCACAAAGGAGCTTGGTATGGTGCCTTGGCTAGTTACACTTGATATTCTTCAGGAAATATGCAGAAAAGAAAAGCACACATGTAAATAGATTGGAATCAATCTATTGGTGGACTACTTGTGTGACTACAAGGCAGTGAAGCATATGGAATTTTATCTTGTAAAATGAAAATGATGGCTAGATTCTACAAATACTTAGGAACCTTTGCAAAATCTCAAGGGCCCATGACTGTTTCAGCAATTCTTTAATAGTGAGCATAATTATTTATCTCAGGTAAATAAAGGCAAAGCAATAATTCCAAAAGACAATAACAAAACTTCAAAACCTGCCATTGCCAAGTACATTGTAAAGAAGGCCAAACAAAGGATAGTTCTGCAGAGATGGCAAGATGAACTCAGCAGAAGACAGAATAATAAAGGAGTGATATTTGTTGAAAATAGGGTTCACTTAGAAGGCCCACCTTCAGACTTCTGCTATATTGATGAATACAAACCAGCTCCTGGAATCAGCTTAGTAAATGAAGCTACCTTTTGTTGTTCATGCACAGATTGCTTCTTTGAAAAATGTTGTCTTGGTGAAGCTGGAATTCTTTTGGCTTATAGTAAAAACCAACAAATTAAAATCCCACCTGTTACTCCCATCTATAAATGCATCTCAATCTGTCAATGTGGACCTCACTGTACCAATAGGATTGTACAAAAAGGCACACAGTAATTCACTTTGCATCTTTCACAGTATCAATGACCATGGCTGGGGTGTAAAAACCCATGTGAAGATTAAAAGAATAAGTTTTGTCATGGAATAAGTTGGAAAGGTAATCACAAGTGACGAAGCTGAAAGATGAGGGCAGTTATATGACAACAAATGATCTGGACTATGAATCTGATGAATTCACAGAGGATGCAGCTCAATATGGAACTGTATCTCATTTTGTGAATCATAGTAGTGACCCAAAACTTCATATGTTCAATGTTTTCATTGATAACTTGACACTGGCCTTCCCTAAATAGCTCTGTGTTCCATGAGAACTATAAATGCTGGAGAAGAGTTGATTTTTGACAATCAAACAAAAAGTTCTGGGGATATATCTTCAGAGTTTATTGACCACAGCTCAGCCAAAAAGAGGGTCAGAACTGTATGTAAATGTGGAGCTGTGACTTGCAGAGGTTGCCTCAAATGAATTTTCAGGAAATAGAAATGATGATAATTGTAGTTTGTTTCTTTTTTCTAATGTTATCATTTAAAAAATAAGTATTTGGAACTCTTTTTTCATATTATCAAGATTATAACTATGTTAATTGACAATTCATGGTTCAAGGCATTTACCAAATGCATTACTGATGCCTCTGGAGAGAGGGCCACTGGGTTGCATAGACTGATCTGAAGTCTACGTATTTAGTGCTTAGAGACTAAACATGGAAAAAAACTATTTATAGCTCAGCATATGCACACTTAGTTAAGAAGTCAATGTGAATAGAGAAATGCCGTCTGTAGTGTTTGAATAGTGTTAAACTGATAATGTAATAACTGCTGAGAGATCAAACATTCAATTTTCCGTACTCCTTGAACTCAGATAAATAGAGTTAATTCAATTTGGGAAAACCTACAAGTTCTGTTATTGTTACCATATTGTCATTCTTATTTAATACTCACTGTACTTTTATTTGAGACAAATAGGTGATACTGAATTTTATACTCTATTGTCTACTTTTTCATTAAAACATTGGCATCTCAATGACATATAAACTTAAGGTAAGACATTAAATGTAAAACTTTTTAGTTAAAAAACTACTATCTAAAATATAATTTTATTAATTTTTTTAGATTTTTATCTTTCAAAATATATTTTATGAGATCTATGTAAAATGTAATTGCTATTAAAATATTTTGTGGTTTTTGGATAGAATTTATTTCCTATACATATTCCAAAGAAGTTTAACATATTTATATATAGAAAACATTTTATATATAACATATACAATACATATGTGTGCTTATATATATGTATTTTAATCAATGCTTTTAAGGGGAGACATAGTAAATATAGATGATTTTGCATCCTCAAAATCACAAATTAGTCTATGAGAGAATTTTATGGCATACAATTTTAAGGAACTACGCATGAAATCTCTCTCACTGGCCAGGCTCATTGCTCAGGCAGGCCTATAATCCCAGCACTGTGGGAGGCTGAGGTGGGAGGATTGTTTGAGGCCAGTAGTTTAATACAAGCCGGGACAACATAGTGAGAATCTGTCTTTACAAAAACAATAATAATAGCCAGGCATGGTGGCACTCACTGGTAGTACCAACTACTCAGGAAGCTGAGGTGGAAGGATCGCTTGAGCCCAGGAGCCGAGGAGTTTGATGTTGCAGTGAGCCATTGCACCATTGTACTCCAGTCTGAGTGAGACAGTGATAAACTGTCCAAAAAAAAAAAAAAAAACTCTAAATTCTTTGGAAATTTTTTTTTTAGAAAAAATTCTAAATATTATTTGCTCAACCAACTTCATCCATTATTCTACTTTTTATGTGCATGTAATAACATTTATGGCTATTATCATAAAATGGAAATGCCGGAAATGCATCAAATTATATTGCTTCCCTATTCAAAATTTGTACTATTTTCTCATCACATCAGGGTAAAATTCATAGTCTCCCCCATGGTTTACAATGAACTATGTGATTAAGCTCCTGGCCTCTTCTCTTTCTTAACCTCCTGATTTTCTTCAAGTTCATTGCACTTCAGCTACGTAGAGTGCTTCTGCCTTTTCCCTTGATGTTATCAGTACCTGACATACATTTTTCTCAGATAATTGCAGCTTTCTTCACATCTCTTGTCAAAATTCACTTTCTTATCCTATCTATAATGGCATTCTTGTGGAACTTCTTTTTCCCCATACTCCTTTATTTTTTCCCATAGTATTGAACACCTATTACCTGCAATTATATATCTTATTTATTTGATTTTTTGCCTCCAACCAAAATCATAAATAAAAGTTCCATGAGAACAAATATGTATGGCTCTTTTGTTTACTGTGATACCCATCAGTACCTAAAATGTGACCAAAAGGTAGTAGAACTCAAATATTTATAAAATGGTTTTCAATCAGCTCATCATAAGTCATAATTTAAAGGCATCCTAAACAAATAAATACACAGTTCAATGAGATTTAAATGAAATTGGTTTTGAGTTTCTCAGTTTTTTACCTTCTCCATGAATGAGATATATGGATATAAAGAAAATTTAGCACTTAAACTATTGAATCTGAGGTAGCAGAAATCTATCTTTTGATAGAAATCTATCTTCCTCAGCCAATGAGAAAGATGAAACTGAATAAAAGGAGGGGGATATATCTTCACTTATTTTTTAATTTATTTTATTATTATTATTTTTTGAGACAGAGTCTCTCTCTGTCCCCAGGCTGGAGTGCAGTGGTGCGATGTTGGCTCACTGCCACCTCCACCTCCGGGTTCAAGTGACTCTCCTGCCTCAGCCTCCCGAATAGCTGGGACTACAGGTACATGCCACCATGCCCAGCTAATTGTTGTGTTTTTAGTAGAGATAGGGTTTCACCATGTTGGTCAGGCTTGTCTTGAGCTCCTAACATCAGGTGATCCACCTGCTTTGGGTTCCCAAAGTTTTGAGATTACAGGCGTGAGCCATTGCACCCAGCTTGACTTATTTCTAAAATAAAAAATTAATAGAAAAAAATGTTGTGAAGAGCCCTAAATGTTCTAGAGACATTATGTGTCCCAATACAGTCTGGTTTAAAGAATTTAGGTAATGTTTTGGTATTAATTAGTAGAAATTAAACCTGTATTATTTGGAATTGAATCACTGGTTTTATTATTAGGTTGGTGCAAAAGTAATGGCAAAAACCACAATTACATTTGCACCAACCTAATATTAGTAGTCATTTTGGTAACCCAAACAATTACCCAGGTGTAAATTTTTCTTATTTTCATCTCTGATAACCCAGGGTTACTAGAAAAACAGAGTCGGCAAATACAACATACTTTATAGTCTTGTTGAAGTAAAGCAGATAATTGACGTTATTTTTTCTCTCCCGCTTGCTACACTGCAATTGAAGTGTGGCTGTTCATTATAAGTTTCAAATGCTAACTCTACACATTTGATGAATCTAGGGATTTGAATAGATATTATAGCAAACTGGCATGTTCTTATAAAAGACAGAATTCACAATTTCTTGCCCTTTCTTTACTCAAAGGATAAACTTTATTACTGTGTTATCACCACCAACTAAAGTTGATTTAAGAGATATGATGCTTCTTTTAAAGACATGATTTTCATAATAAGTGAAGCAAGGGAGACCTCTAGCAGCATCTGCTCATGATGAAATCTTAAATCAATGATTTGGCTTCATTCCCAACTAACAGGTATATCTGCATGGATTATTATTATTATTATTAGCTACCAAGAAAAGAAAGTATTACACAAGGGGCACTCACCCTGACATTTCCAAATATTCATAAAATGATACAATATTTTCAAAAATACAGGAGTAATGTTTCACTTATTCACCCTGCGATGCCCAGTCAATTCCATGAATGAAGTCACAGGTGGTGATAAAGCACAATGTGAGTGTTAGTCAGGATAAAATAATACTTGGCTGAGAACCACAATCCCAAAAGCCAAAATCCCTGACCACTTGCTTTCTTCTGACACAGACTTGCAAAAGAGACTTTTAGAAAGGTTATATAAAACAAAAATCTCCCTATTTTTAGAGTAAGGCCTAGCACCTTGATTTAGTCAACAATCATTAAGCAGCCACTGAGTGCAGTTGGCAGAAATGTGTTGAGTGGTTTTTGGATCCTGAATGCAGACTCTCTAGATTGACATACTAAAGGAAGGCAACCCAAGGCAAAAGACATCAAGGAGAAAAAATGCAGTGAAATACACGGAAGTATCAATCATATCTATTCCCCAAACTTTCCTTAGTATGAAGTTTCTTCTCAAACAGTAAAGGGCAGCCTGATATCCTCTTATATTATTGCTCAAGTGGATGGTACAGAGATACTGCAAAGAGAGATGAAGAATGATAGATTTTCAGAGAAATTGTGCCGAATATTTATCATTCACTGAATCTGACCTGTATTTGAGAAAAAATGAATAACAGAAGGGAGAAGAAGGAACTTTATACTCTTCCTAGAAGCCAAATTTTCCACATTTATTGTTATTAATTTTTATCTATTGGGCTTAAAATTCAGACTGTTTTAAACCAAGAGTATAGCTGTGCCCATGAAGGAGGAAACTTGAGTGTCAAGTATCTTACCTAAACCTCGAGTTTTTCTTTTTTTTTCCTCCTTCTTCTCATTGATGTAACATGCATTTTTACTTCAAACAATGGCATATATGTTTTAGCCACAGATGACTCAGAAATCGAAAGTTAGAAGACAATCGTTAGTTTTCTCCAAGAACACAAAGCTCTAGAACAAAATTTTAATCTTCTAGCTCCCATCTTGATTAATGCGAAGGCATTTGTCTATCCAAGCTCACTGTGTAAAGGTCATGTGATGTATGCCATATAACATCACAATGCTAGCAATATGAAGTACTTCAAATTTATTTCTACTCCATTAACTTTAACAGTGAGAACCTTTCACATTTTCAAGTGAAACTATTGATTCCACAGTGAAATTAATGTTCCACAATACATATATAAAAGCATTTCTGCCACTCAATTTTCTTATCCTGTTCCAGGCAAGCCAAAAATCTTTCACTCGGGTGCCTGTTTGGAGTCTCCTTCTCTCAATCAGTGGATTCTACCATCTTTTCCAGACCATCTCCCCTTTCACACCTCCACCATTGGGTTACCCCAACTCCAATTTGCTCATGTTATGCTCTTAGAGGCAAGGCAGGACATAAGAATATAACAACACTAGATGCCCATGAAAAAAAAATAGAAAAATGAAATAAAATTTCAAAATTCATGTGCAATAACAGCTGCTTATAATCCAAACACCAATTTTATCTTAAACAGATTTTTTTCAGCAAATCAGTGTTTTCAGAACCCCAAAAAATCCAATCTAGGATCACCCAAGTTAATTTACACAGTATGGAACTTTACTAATACGTTAGAATCACACAGTCAGGAATCCAGACAAAATAGAGAGAGAGACTTGGATCATCCCATGTGGCTCTCTAGGCCCTTGATTGCCACATAAGACAAGGGATTTCTGCTCCAGGAAAACAGAAGGGGTTGCTATTCCAGCTTTAGGTGTCACATATAGCAAGGAGGATTTCAGTTACGAAACATCTATGTCTTATAACCCAGAGAGTTGTTTTTGTAACATTCTCCATAAATTGTTTACTTGAGAAATTTGAATCCAGAGACATCTTATTAAGGTCATTACATAGACAGTGACTAGTATCATTAGTCTACTTACCAAGAAGTTCAAAAATCATATTTACAAGGAAATTGAAATTGATTACACAAGGTTACTAGCCTTTTTTATTTTTCCCAAAGTGTTCGCCCACCTACCAATCATGGAAGAAATTGAGCACAGTTCAGCAGCTGTAACTTTTTCTTGCCTGCTACACATCTGACCTTGGATATTATCTCCTCATTGCATTTTATAGATATTCCACAATTTTCTGCAACATATAAAATAATATGCCAATTAACTACTAGATGAATAATAGGATTTGAACCATGAATAGGGATGTAAATTCTCTCTGTTAAGCATGTTACTTGTGACCATATTCTTTGATATTTGTTCAATTATTTGTGACCATATTTATGATAATCTTTGTCCAGATTATGTACTCTTTTTCCTCTACCATTCGTGATTATTTGAATCAATGTATCCATGCTGATGGAGACATTTATTTTCATGGATAATTTTCATAGCCAAATTTATGTTTCCCAGTTAGTCTGTCTCCATAGGCATTTCATCAGTTGGGAGCTTCAAATAAACTGCCACTAAATTTCCAAAAATATTTACTTATTTGACCGGGAGTGGCGGCTCATGTCTAATCCCAGCACTTCGGGAAGCTGCGGTGGGTGCATCACCTAAGGTCAGGAGATTGAGATCAGTCTGGTCAACATGATGAAACCCTGTCTGTACTAAAAATACATAAAATTATCTGGGCGTGGTAGCAGGAGCCTGTAATCCAAGCTTCTCAGGAGGCAGAGAAAGGAGAATCACCTGAACCCAGGAGGCGGAGGTTGCAGTGAGCTGAGATTAGGCCACTGCACTATAGCATGGGCAATAAGAGGGAAACTCTGTCTCAAAAAAAAAAAAATAAGTTCCATCAGTTTCTAGACAAACCCATAGCCAATATCATATTAAAGGGGCAAAAGCTGGAAGCATTCCCTTTGAAAACCGGCACAAGACAAGGATGCCCTCTCTCACCATTCCTATTCAACATGGTATTGGAAGTTCCGGCCAGGGCAATAAGGCAAGAAAAAGAAATAAAGGGTATTCAAATAGGAAGAGAGAAAGTCAAATTATCTCTGTTTGCAGTTGGCATGTTTGTATGCTAAGAAAACCCCATCATCTCAGCCCCAAATCTCCTTAAGCTGACAAGCAACTTCACCAAGCCTTAGGATATGAAATCAATGTGCAAAAATCACAAGCATTCCTGTACACCAATAATAGACAGAGAGTCAAATCATGAGTGAACTCCTATTCACAATAGCTACAAAGAGAATAAAATACCTAGAAATAAAACTTACAAGGGATGTGAAGACCTTTTCAAGGAGAACTGCAAAACACTGCTCAAGGAAATAAGACAGGACACAAATGGAAAAACATTCCATGCTCATTGATAGAAAGAATCAATATCAATGAAAATGGCCATACTGCCCAAAGTAATTTATAGATTCAATGCTATCCCCATCAAGCTACCATTGACTTTTTTCATGGAATTAGAAAAACTACTTTAAATTTCATATGGAACAAAAAAAAAAAAGCCCATATACCCACGACAATCCTAAGCAAAAAAGAATAAAGCTGGAAGCATCACGTTACCTGACTTCAAACTATATTACAAGGCTACAGTAACAAAAACATCATGGTACTGGTATCAAAACAGATAAATAGACAAAAGGAACAGAACAGAGGCCTCAGAAATAACACCACACATCTACAACCATCTGATCTTTAAAAAACTTGACAAAAACAAGCAATGGGGAAAGGATTCCCTGTTTAATAAATGGTGTTGGGAAAACTGGCTAGCCATATGCAGAAAAGTGAAACTGGACCCCTTCCTTACACCTTATACAAAAATTAACCCAAGATGGATTAAAGACTTAAACATAAGACCTAAAACCATAAAAACCCTAGAAGAAAACGTAGGCAATACTATTCAGGACACAGGCATGGGCAAAGTGTTCATGACTAAAATACCAAAAGCAATGGCAACAAAAACCAAAATTGACAAATGGGATCTAATTAAACTAAAGAGCTTCTGCATGGCAAAACAAACTATCATCAGAGTGAACAGGTAACCTACAGAACGAGAGAAAAATTTTGCAATCTATCCATCTGGCAAAGGGCTAATATGCAGAATCTACAAAGAACTTAAATTTACAAGAAAAAAACAAACAAACAAAAAGTGGGTGAGGGATATGAACAGACATGTCTAAAAAGAAGACATTTATGCAGCCAACAAATATACGAAAAAATTCTCATCATCACTGGTCATTAGAGAAATGCAAATCAAAACCACAATGAGATATCAGCTCACCCCAGTTAGAATGGCAATCATTTAAAAATTAGGAAACAACAGATGCTGGAGAGTTTGTGAAGAAATAGGAACACTTTTACACTGTTGGTGGGAATATAAATTAGGTCAACATTGTGGAAAACAGTGTGGTGATTCCTCAAGGATCTAGAACCAGAAATACCATTTGACCCTGCAATCCCATTACTGAGTTTATATCCAAAGGATAATAAATCATTGTACTATAAAGATACATGCACATGTATGTTTATTGCTGCACTATTCAAAGTAGCAAAGACTTGGAACCAACCCAGATGCCCATCAATGATAGACTGGATAAAGAAAATGTGGCACATGTACAACATGGAATACTATGCCATAAAAAAGGATGAGTTTATGTCATTTGCAGGGACATGGATGAAGCTGGAAACCATCATTCTCAGCAAACTAACACAGGAACAGAAAACCAAACACCACATATTCTCACTCATAAGTCGGAGTTGAACAATGAGAACACATACACAGGGCAGGGAACATCACACCCTGGTCCGTATTGGGGGGTGGGGGGCTAGGGGAGTTATAGCATTAGGAGAAATACCTAATATAGGTAACGGGTTGATGGGTACAGCAAACCACCATGGCACGTGTATACCTATGTAACAAACCTGCATGTTCTGTACATGTATCTCAGAATTTAAAGTAAATAAAAAATTTTTACCTATCCTATGAATTATCATTGACATATATCCCTTTTATTTATTAATTTATTTTGGAGATGGAGTCTGGCTCTGTTCCCCAGGTTGTAGTGCAGTGGCACGATCTTGGCTCACTGCAATCTCTGCCTCCCAGGTTGAAGAGACTCTCCTGCCTTAACTTCCTGAGTGGCTGAGACTACAGGCATGCATCCCCATGTCCAGCCGATTTTTGTATTTTTAATAGAGACAGGGTTATACCTTGTTGGCCAGGCTGTGCTAGAACTCCTGGCTTCAGGTGATTCGCCGGCCTTGTCCTCCATAAGTGTTGGGATTACAGGCATGAGCTACCATGCCTGGCCTCACATTTTTATTTCATTTCGTCAGTAAACTTATAAACACTTTGATACATCATGTAATTGAGATGGAAAGATTAAACTAATGTTTTATGTATCACATTTCAGCTAAAATGGCAAGTTATCTCTGCCAAATAGTAATGAAATTTTCCCACTTACTGCACATTTCCAGTGACTAGGGTTGTGAATGGAGACCACTCTTCAGTAAATTTTGGATTTCACCTGGTTTGTGGACATGATCATATACCACATATTATAGTACAAGTTTTTATAGAAACTGGATATTCAGGAACAATGTCATATACAGTGCACAACACTACAGAGACCCAGCCTCATTCAGTGTAGCTGTATCTATATGAGTTAAACTAACAGCAGTGTTAAATTAGTTGTGTCTCTCTAGTCGTCAAAAAAGTATAGTCTCAGATTACCTGTGCAAATAGTATTCCAGACCCTTAAAACGGAGTATTAAATTTGAGGCAGAGGGCAGAAGGTAAGATTGCTTGCTACCCTCCCAAGTTAGGTCTGTTCAACCAGCACCTAAATCACAGCAATAGATCAGCTGCCATACCATGTAGATGCATCTGCTCACAAAAACTTGTAGCCACCTTGGCATCTGTGTTCAACCAAGTAATCCCTTTAATTCAATAGTATCTAAAATTAGCAAAGTTCCCTCCTGATCATTAAACCTAAGAATCTATACCAATAATGATTCAACAGTTGTCTGTTATAATTTACTTCTAAAAATATATCAGTTGTTTACTAGAATGCATTCACATTATATAGTCATCTGAATTTAGTCTCTGGCTACCTATACAGTCTTTTGGTTAATCAATGACCTTATTTGCTTCAATTTGCAGGTTAATATAAATCTTGCAGCTAGCAAAAAAAATTATAAGAACATTATCCAGAGATAGAAAAAACTAGTCCTGCAGAATTATCTTTTACTCTCATACTCTCATCTTTCTCTCCTCTTTTTGTTTTTATCTAGACTTAGGCCTGCTCTATCCAGCACACTCACCACTAGCCATATGTTGAGCATACATTGAGCACTAGAAATATGTCTAGTCCAAACAGAGACACCTTCTAAGTGTTAAAATACACTCTGGTTTGCAAAGTTTTAGTATAAGATATTAATATAGAATAGCCTTTTAATAAATTTTATATTGATTACATGGTAAAATAATATTTTGAATAATATTTTGAATTAATTGTTTAATCAAAATTAATTTCACCTTTTTTTACTCTAGTGACTGGAGCTACTGGAAAATTTTAAATTATAAATACAGCTTGCATTTGTGGCTCACATTATATTTCTATTGGACAGTGCTGATATAGATTTTACTAGAACTGTTACAGCAGCAAATAAATATAATTTTTTGCCACATTTTCCTTAGCCTTGCATTTGTTATCAATTGACTTCCTTAATTTATCCTAGTTGATGCCTATGTCTTCCAAATCCCATTGGTAAGACTCATTTACAGTAATTTGCATCAAATCTTTTATCTATTTATACTAAGGTGAGTAGCAATCATCCACTATTTTATTTTCACTATATTTTCTATCCATTCAATTTTCTTGCCAAAATTTTGATTCATTGAACCGAAGGACATTAATTTTCATAGCACAAATCTGAGTGATCTGAGTGGACACCAATATATCAGATCGGATTGTCCAGTCAGATTACCACACTTCATAGATCTTACCCAGTATCGAACTCTATTTTAGAGGAAGAGACGAAGAAGGCAGAAGCCTGGGGCATTCCATGTTGCATCCCACGTTCTTTCTTTCCACAATGGACTTGTGTTTTTGGCCCAGAGTCATAGATGAGGACTCAAATGGGTTTGATTAGTCATCTAATACAGCAGGGAGTATTTTATTTATGAAATAGTGCCATTTTATACTACAAGAGTATATAAGTTGTACAACATTCTCCAAAGAACAATGCTTCATAAATATATATATATATATATTGTGTTTGCCATGTGCAATCTTCACCTAGAAATAAGCTACTAAAAGCATTCTGTAAGTAAAAACTGCCCTCACAAATATTATTAGTTAATTTATCCAAGGGTCCAGTTACCATATTTACAAAGATTAGACTGTCACCACCATTTTTTCCCCAAGAGAATTTCCCCGGTAATTAGAACATAGACTAGTATAATTTGTGAACTATGATACAGATAATAAAAGAAAAAGAAAGACTGAATGTTTAAGACTTGCCAGCCAGTGATGTCCATAGTGTATAATACTTGAATTCAGTTAACTTCTCTTAAAGTGTTAATAAGCTCTCAAAATACAAGAATAAATAAATCCACCACCTATTCAGATTACCTCCCTCCTTTGAGGTTGCAATTTGAAACACAGTTGCAGAATTTTGCTAGGTCTAATCTCATCATTTTCCTCTTCCCTAGCTTCCACACACACACAGATGTGATATGCATATACATATACATAAGCACACACATATAGGAGGAATTTTAAGATATGTGTATGTAAGATACATGTCTATCTATATATAAATATATATATACATATAATTTATATATAAATATTTTATATATATATATATATATATTTAGTAGAAACAGGGTTTTGCTATGTTGGCCAGGCTGGTCTCAAACTTCTGACCTCAGGTGACCCACCTCCTCAACCTCCCAAAGTGCTGGGATTACAAGCGTGAGCCACCAGGCCCAGCCATATGTGTGTGTGTGTGTGTGTATGTTTAATTTTCTTTTTTTATTCTCTACCTTAGCCTCTGTGTTTGCAATCCCAGAGTTAGTTACACTGAGCCTGAGCTTCCCCTCAGATACTCTCCACTTTTACAGGTTGCTCACATTTGTAACAGTTAACTCTTCAAGCAAACTTCATGTCTAGATCTCTCAATTATCTGGTATCTTTTTCAGCATTTCTCTCCAGCAATGTCCTGAAAGTATCTTCCTTTGCTCTCTGCTGAAATTTATTTTCCAGGATCTGGCATTCCTTAGCTCTTTTAAATCCTACCTCCATGAAGGCTTGTCTTTGTTTCCACAGTCTGCTAAGCCTCTTGATCTGCCTTAAATATTTGAAAGTAGTTGGTAGTCTTGTTGATGTTTCTAAGCTTCTGCTCTCAGGTTCCCAATACATCCTCAGAGAAGTGACACTCCTCAAAATCATGTCTCTCCTTTTTTGAGTAATATTCGCTATCCCCGTGAGGCTGAGACTTCTCTCTTTCTCACTTAGCAACCATTGCAACCCCAATATCAGAAAAAATTAACTTATTTTTCCTTCTTTACCACAATCATAAGAGTCTATTTCTTTTTTTTTTCTTTTTATTGAGACAGAGTCTCCCTCTCTTACATAAGCTAGACTGTAGTGGCATGATCACAGCTCATTGCAGCCTCCACCTCTCAGGATAAAGCAATCCTCCTCCCATGTCAGACTCCTAAGTACCTGAGAAGCAAGGACTACAGTCATACACCACCATATGCAGCTAATATTTTGATTTTTTTTGTAGAGATGACAGTCTTCCTATATTACCCAGGCTGGTCTTGAACTCCTGGGCTCAAGCAATCCTCCTGCCTTGGCCTCCCAAGATGTTGAGCTTACAGCCGTGAGCCACCACGCTGAGCTCAAATTCCAATTCTCTCTGCCTTCCCCCTCCTCATAGTTATACCATGCAGGCCCAGACATTTTGTTTTTGTTTTTACTTTTTCTATAAGTGTTCATTTTATTGCCCCACCACGTGTAACTGGTGAGGTGAAATGATAGCAATTTGGGTTCAGAGTTATGATTATTTCATCAGGTTGGGCATTATAATATCTGAATTGAGAATGTTTTTGTAACCTAGAAGTTCATTAATAGTAAGAAGTTGAGTAGAGAATCCTTGAGATCCACCTAATATTATCTAAGGATAGGGGAAAACTTTACTCATTGAGTACATTCTTTTTCTTATTATCATACTTTAAGTTCTGGGATACATGTGCAGAATGTGCAGCTTTGTTACATAGGTACACACATACAGTGGTGGTTTGCTGCACCATCAACCCGTCATCTACATTAGGTATTTCTCCTAATGCTATCCCTCCCCTAGCCCCCCACCCCCCAAAAGGGCCCAGGCTGTGATGTTCCATGCCCTGTGTATGTGTTCCCATTGTTTGACTCCAACTTATGAGTGAGAACATGTGGTGTTTGGTTTTCTGTTCCTGTGTTAGTTTGCTGAGAATGGTGGTTTCCACCTTCATCCACATCCCTGAAAATGACATGAACCCATCCTTTTTATGGCTGCATATTATTCCATGTTGTATATGTGCCACATTTTCTTTATCCAGTCTATCATTGATGGGCATTTGGGTTGGTTCCAAGTCTTTGCTATTGTGAACACTGCTGCAATAAACATATATGTGCATGTGTCTTTATAGTAGAATCATTTATAATTCTTTGGATTTATACCCAGTAATGGGATTGCAGGGTCAAATGGTATTTCTGGTTCTAGATCATTGAGGAATCACCACACTGTCTTCCACAATGGTTGAACTAATTTACACTCCCACCAACAGTGTAAAAGTGTTCCTATTTCTCCACATCCTCACCAGCATCTGTTGTTTCCTGACTTTCTAATGATCGCCATTCTAACAGGTGTGAGATTGTATCTCATTGTGGTTTTGATTTGCATTTCTCTAATGACCAGTGATGATGAACTTTTTTTCATATGTTTGTTGGCCACATAAATGTCTTCTTTTGAGAAGTGTCTGTTCATATCCTTTGCCCACTTTTGATGGGGTTGTTTGTTTTTTTCCTGTAAATTTGTTTAAGTTCCTTGTAGATTCTGGATATTAGCCCTTTGTCAGATGGATAGATTGCAAAAATTTTCTCCCATTCTGTTGGTTGCCTGTTCACTCTGATGATAGTTTCTTCTGCTGTGCAGAAGCTCTTTAGTTTAATTGGATCCCATGTGCCTATTTTGGCTTTTGTTGCCATTGCTTTTGGTGTTTTAGTCATGAAGACTTTGCCCATGCCTATGTCCTGAATGGTATTGCCTAGGTTTTCTTCTAGGACTTTTATGGTTTTATGTCTTACCTTTAATGCTTTAATCCATCTTGAGTTAATTTTTGTATAAAGTGTAAGGAAGTGGTCCAGTTTATGTTTTCTTAATATGACTAGCCCGTTTTCCCAACACCATTTATTAAATAGAGTATCCTTTCCCTATTATTGCTTGTTTTCATCAGGTTTTTCAAAGATCAGATTGTTGTAGATGTGTTATTTCTAAGGCCTCTGTTCTGTTCCATTTGGTCTATATATCTGCTTTGGTACCAGTACCATGCTGTTTTTGTTACTGTAGCCTTGTAGTATAGTTTGAAGTCAGGTAGTGTGATGCCTCCAGCTTTGCTCTTTTTGCTTAGAATTGTCTTGGGTATATGGGCTCTTTTTTGGTTCCATATGAAACTTAAAGTAGTTTTCTTTAATTCTGTGAAGAAAGTTAATGGTAGCTTGATGGGGATAACATTTTGGGCAATACGGCCATTTCCACGATATTGATTCTTCCTATCCATGAGCATGTAATGTTTTTCTATTTGTGTCCTGTCTTATTTCCTTGAGCAGTGGTTTGTAGTTCTCCTTGAACAGGTCCTTCCCATCCCTTGTAAGTTGTATTCCTAGGTATTTTATTGTCTTTGCAACAGTTGTGAATGCGAGTTCACTCATGATTTGGCTCTCTGTTTGTCTCTTATTTGTGTATAGGAATGCTTGTGATTTTTGCCCATTGATTTTGTATCCTGAGACTTTGCTGAAGTTGTTTATTAGCTTAAGGAGATTTTGTACTGAGATGATGGGGATTTCTAAATATACAAACATGTCATCTGCAAACAGAAGCAATTTGACTTCCTCTCTTCCTATTTGAATATCCTTTATTTATTTCTCTTGCCTGATTGCCCTGGCCAGAACTTTTAATATTATGTTGAATAGGAGTGGTCAGAGACGGCATCCTTGTCTTGTTCCATTTTTTCAAAACCAGGTTTTGCCCATTCTGTATGATATTGGCTGTGGGTTTCTAAAAAATAGCTCTAGTATTTTCAAATTACATTCTATTGAGATCTAGTTTGTTGAGAGTGTTTAGCATGAAGAGGTGTTGAATTTTATTGAAGGCCTTTCCTGCATCTATTGAGATAATCATGTGGTTTTTGTCATTGGTTTTGTTTATGTGATGGATTAGTTTATTGATTTGTGTATGCCAGCCTTGCATTCCAGGGATGAAGCCAACTTGATCATGGTGGATAAACTTTTTGTTGTGCTGCTGGATTGGGTTGCCAGTATTTTATTGAGGATTTTCACATCAATGTTCATCAGGGATATTAGCCTGATTTTTTTTGTTGTTGTGTCTCTGCCAGGTTTTCATATCAGGATGATCCTAGCCTCATAAAATGAATTATGGAGGAGTATCTTTTTTTCTATTGTTTGGAATAGTTTCAGAAGGAACGGTATCAGCTCCTCTTTGTACCTCTGGTAGAACTCAGCTGTGAATCCATCTGGTCCTGGGCTTTTTTTGGTTGGTAGGCTATTAATTACAATTTCAAATTCAGAGCTTGTTATTGGTCTAGTCAGGGATTCAACTTTATTGTTTAGTCTCGGGAGGATGTAAGTGTCGAGGAATTTATCCTTTTCTTCTAGATTTTCTAGTTTATTTGCATTGAGTTGTTTATAGTATTCTCTGATTGCAGTTTGTATTTCTGTGGGATCAGTGGTGATATCCCATTTATCATTTTTTATTATGTCTATTTGATTCTTTTTTTTTTTCTGTATTAGTTTGCCTAGCAGTCTATCTATTTTGTTAATCTTTTCAAAACCCAGCTCCTGGATGCATTGATTTTTTGAAGGGTTTTTTGTATCTCTATCTCCTTCAGTTCTGCTCTGATCTTAGTTATTTCTTGTCTTCTGCTAGCTTTTTAATTTGTTTGCTCTTGTTTCTCTAGTTATTTTAATTGTGATGTTATGGTGTCTATTTTCGATCTTTCCTGCTTTCTCCTGTGGGGATTTAGTGCTATAAATGTCCTTCTAAACACTGCTTAACTGTGTCCCAGAAATTCTGGTACGTTGTATCTTTGTTCTCATTGGTTTCAAATAACTTATTTACTTCTGCCTAAATTTTAAGCTTCATAAGAAAAGGAGAAATAAAATCCTTTACAGACAAACAAATGCTGAGAGATTTTGTCATCACCAGGCTTGCCTTATAAGAGCTCCTGAAGGAAGCACTGAATATGCAAAGGAAAAACTGGTACCAGCAACTGCAAAAACATACCAAATTGTAAAGACTATTGAAACTATGAAGAAACTACATCAACTAAGGGGCAAAATAACCAGCATAACATCATAATGACAGGATCAAATTCACACATAACAATGGTAACCTTAAATGTAAATTGGCTAAATGCCCTAATTAAAAGACACAGACTGGCAAATTGGATAGAGTCAAGACCCATCTGTGTGCTGTATTCAGGAGACCCATGCAAAGACACACATACAAAGACACACATAGGCTCAAAATAAAGGGATGGAGGAATATTTGCCAAGCAAATGGAAAGCAAAAAAAGAGCAGGGGTTGCAATCCCAGTCGCTGATAAAACAGATTTTAAACCAACAAAGATCAAAAGAGACAAAAGACAGGCATTACGTAGTGATGAAAGGATCAATGCAACAAGAAGAGCTAACTATTCTAAATATATATGCACCCAATAGAGGAGCACCCAAATTCATAAAGCAAGTTCTTAGAGACCTGCAAAGAGACTTAGACTCCCACACCATAATAGTGGGAGACTTTAACACCCTACTTTCAATATCAGACAGATCAATGGGACAGAAAATTAACAAGGTTATTCAGAACTTGAACTCAGCTCTGGACCAAGGGGAACTAATAGACATTTACAAAACTTTCCACCACAGATCAACAGAATATAGATTCTTCTCAGCACCATATTGCACTTATTCTAAAATTGACCACATAATTGGAAGTAAAACACTCCTCAGCAAATGCAGAATAACAGAAATCATAAAAAACCGTCTCTCAGACCATGGTGCAATCGAATTAGAACCCAGGATTAAGAAACTCACTCAAGGCTCGGCGCAGTGGCTCATGCCTGTAATCCCAGCACTTTAGGAGGCTGAGGCTGGTGGATCACCTGAGGTCAGGAGTTCAAGACCAGCCTGACCAACATGGAGAAACCCCATCTCTATTAAAACTACAAAATTAGCTGGGCATGATGGCGCATGACTGTAATCCTAGCTACTTGGGAGGCTGAATCAGAAGAATGGCTTGAACCTAGGAGGCAGAGGTTTTGATGAGCCGAGATCATGCCATTGCACTCCAGCCTGGGCAACAAGAGTGAAACTCCGTCTCAAAAAAAAAAAAAAAAAAGAAAGAAACAAAGGAAAAAAGAAACTCACTCAAAACCGCACAACTACATGGAAACTGAACAACCTGATCTTGAGTAAATTTTTCTATGTGAAATAAAAGGCAAAATTTAATTTCATTCAGATCACATTAAGATAAGCTTGTTCAACAAGTTGGTGTCAATGCTAAGGGGACAAATTAAATTTAAATTTTCCTGAAAGAGACTATATGAATATAAAAAATAATAAAACCAAAACATTTGTATACTGCCTTAAATGTGTCTCTATTAATAACAAAAATCTATACAAATAACACTATAGGTGTATATATAATGCGAAGGTCATTTTCTATTCCTGGCCCATTGAGAACAAATTACATATAATTGGATGCAGGTCAAGATATTTACTACATATATTTTGTAGTTTAGTGTTGATTAACCCATTTTGTCAAAGGAGAAAGGGAAGCTTAATGTGAATGAACTGTTCATCTACAATACTTCAAGAGTAAAAGGCATAAACTCAAGAAAACCAAATTTCAGGCCATAATGCTAATGAGTAGATAAAGATGTATCAGCATGATCCAGGAACCTCTGGGCATCCAGCAAATTGGCCGTATGCTAATTTCACTCTCAGAGCCATTTCCAGAAGCTAAAATGTAGCTGGACTGGGAAATACTTGTGCTGTGTTCCTACAAGCCTGGCATATCTGTACTTTCTAAACATCTGGAGACACAGTGAGTCAGACCCAGGAGGAATTTTTACAACTCCCAGTAAACAGTGAGTCCCATCTTATAATTTACAGATTATCAAGGCAGGTAGTGAAACCCCAGGACCTCTTTTCTGGTGTTATCCAATTCATTTTATAAAAGTTCACAAAAGTGGAATACAACATACTATGTGTGATTTGTTTTTTTATTTATGGTTGATATTTATATACAGCCTCAAACTACATACATTCTAAAACACATTCATGTTTGGTTATCCCAAAAACAATTTTCCCTGAGACATAATTTATTATTCACATTCTATATAAAAGGAAGTAGACATAGAGATGTCTGATGAATTGGGCCAGAATACTTTTATTCATATTGGACTTACTGAGCCCTCTGTTGTAAGTACAAAAAAGGATATGTAAGAGAAAAGAAATTACACTTTCCTTTTCATGATGCTGTCACAAATAAATAAGCAAACACTTACTATAGAAGACCTAATATAAGTGCCCATAATAAAACAGTCTGCAAACTCAGAGGATGATGTGGGAGCCTAGGAAAAGATTCTCAGGGAAGGTGACTTTAGATGTACACTTTAAAGGATATGCAGAATTTTAGAAAGAAACAGAGAACAGTAAGGACATTCCAGTCAGATGGAGTAGCAGTATCCACTACCAAAACCAAGAAGCTCATCTTGTGTATGAGTGCTATAGTCTGAATGTTTGTGTTTCCCTGAGGTGACTTCAGAGATAGGGCTCAAATTCTGCACAAGACTGAATAGTCATTGAAACAAGGAAGAAGTGAAAGCACTTCTCTCTGAGACAAGTCCACGAGTGTCACATCAGTTTACTATTACCATGGCAACACCCAGAAGTTACCACCCCTTTCCATGGCTGTGACCTGGAAATTACCATCCTTTTTCTAAAAATTTCTGAATAACCTGCCTCTTAATTTGCATGTAATTAAAAGTGTGTATAAATACAACTGCAAAACTAATTTTAGGCTGATATTCTGAGCACACTGCCTCTGAGTAGCTCTGCTCTGCTAGGAGCAGTATCTCTGCTACTGCTGTACAGTGTTGCATCAATAATAGTTGATGTCTAACACCACCAGCTTGCCCTTGGATACAGAAGTACTGCTCGTAGCAGAGCAGGGCTACCTCATAGGTACTGTGCCCAGAGTAGCAGCTTAGAAGTAGTTTTGCATTTGTATTTACACCCATTTCTGATTATATGCAAATTAAGACGGTTATTCAGAAATTTTTAGGAAAGGGATGGTAATTTCCAGGTTGCTTCCATGGAAAGGGATGGTAAACTTATGGGCAAAGCCTCAATTTGGGGGCTCACCTGGCCTATATCACCCTCAAAATTCATATGCTGAAACCCAATCAATGTGATGTTATTAGAAGGTGGGGCCCTTAGGAGGCAATTTGGTCCTGAAGGCAGAGCCCTCATGAATGACATTAGTGCTCTTATAAAAGAGATATCAGAGAGCTGCTTTGTTGCTTACACTATTTGAGAACAGTGCAAGGTGGTGCTGTCTATGAACCAGACAGCAGGCCCTCTCTCGACACCAAATTTGCAGGTTCCAGGTTCCTTGATCTTGGACTTCTCAGTCTCCAGAACTGTAAGAAATAAATTCGTGTTATTTATAAGCTGCCCAGTTTGTCATATTTTGTTATAGCAGTCAAAATGAACTGAGACAGGACAGTCCAGGCAGAGGGAATAGCACTATCCACTATCAAAAGCATGAAGCTTATCTTGCATATTAAGACAGATATGCTGATGCAGTAGGGGTCTAGATCTGTTTTGGCTTTTGTTACTTTTTTCTACAACTGCAAGCTGTTTCTCAGCCTAAGGAGATTTCTTTAGGCTGAGAGCTATCAAGAGTTGAAAATGAATTAAGCCCCATCCCCTGGAGTTCAATTAGGGTCCCCCAGGGTGTTCTTGGAAGAGTCTTGGAAAAGTCTTAACATTGATTCAATCTGAGGAACACCACTGAGCCTGGAGGATTACACTCTAGAGTTATCTGTCAATCAAGTTTCATCTTCCAGTAGCTGGTTGCAGAAGAAGAAAGTAATTGGATGCCCATAGGGGCTACTTTCTGAAACTCCATTGTTGATAAACATCTAATTCTTTGAAGATAATAAAGAGAAAAGACAGACTACAGGAAAAAGTAAAATTGTGTTCCTGAATAGCGTAATATACATTTCTATTCATATGTGTTCTATATGAGAATAGTTAATATTTACTTTTCCAATTTTAGTTTTCAGTTTTTATTTATTTTTTTTAAATTTTTATTCTTTCCCCATACCTCCTTAGTACCATGACACGTATATCTTACAGAATCATTACTACAGTTATTTATTCTCTTTTATAAGAAAAATAGATTTAGAAATTTTGCTCTTCAGAATGTATAATTCAATTGGTATTTTTCCTGTTTATGAAAGTCATTTTCTACTTTCGCTAAGCTTTCTTTTTTTCATAATTTTTGTTCTAAACAAAGCAAATGTAAAACTGCATGTCCCCTTTTCGGAATTCATTTTGATGTATAAAAGCTCACCTTGGCTGTATTTTGTACAAGAAATATAATAGTTCTTTAGCAAAATAGTAAAGGTTGAAATAGGTCAGTCTCATTTTATATATTGAAATCTTATAAAATATAACAGAATTAAAGTTGAGCAATTTATAACACTAGTTTATCTTTACCATTGAATAAAATATATTTTATTTTTTATACAGTGAACTAGTGTATTATTATTTTTGTTCTTCTATTTTTTCTTTTTCCTTTCTTTTTCCTTCATTTCTTTTACATTTTCATAAGCAATTTTAATTTTTATCATGGTTTTGTTTGATTATTTGGATGTAACATGGGGATTTAATATCATCTGGCTCTGTGCCTCCACCTAAATTGCATCTTGAATTGTCATCTGAATTGTAATTCTCATGTGTTGGGAAAGGGACTTTGTGGGAGGTGATTGGATTATGGAGGTGGCTCCCTCATGCTGTTCTCATGAAAGTGAGTGAGTTCTCATGAGAGCTAGTGATTTTATAAGGAGCTGTTCCCCCTTCACTCTACACTTTCCTCTCTTGCCATTTTGTAGAGAAAGATGTGATTGCTTCCCCTTCTGCCATGATCGGAAGTCTCCTGAGACATCCCCAGCCATGTGGAACTGTGAGTCCATTAAACCTCTTTCCTCTATAAATTACCCCATCTTGGGTATTTCTTCATAGCAGGGTGAGAACTGATGAATACAGTAAATTGGTACCGAGGTAGTGAGGATTTGCTGTAAACATACCCAAAAATGTGGAAGCAACTTTGGAACTGGGTAACAGGCACAGGTTGGAAAAGTCTGGGGTACTCAGAAGAAGAGAGGATTTGGGAAAGTTTGGAGCTTCCTAGAGACTTGTTGAATGGTTAAGATCAAAATGCTGATAATGATGTGGACAATAAAGTCCAGGTTGAAGTGGTCTCAGATGGAAATGAGGAACTTCTTGGGAACTGGAAAAAAGGTCACTCTTGCTATGCAAAGAGACTGGCAGCATTTTGCCCCTGCCCTAGAGATCTGTGGAACTTTGAGCTTGAGAGAAATGATTTTGGAGTATCTGGTAGAAGAAATTTCTAAGCAGCAAAGCATTCAAGAGGTCACCTGATTGATTCTGAAAGTGTTCAGTTATGTATGCTCACAATGAGGTTGTTTGAAATTGAAATTTATGTTTAAAGGGGAAGCAAAGCATAAAAGTTTGGAAAACGGGCAGCCTGACCATGTATTACAAAAAAAAGAAAAATTCTGCAGAGGATTTCATGCTAGCTGCAGAAATTTGCATGAGCAATGAAGAGCTGAACGTTAATAGCCAAGACAATGGGGATAATTACTCCTGGGCATGTCAGAGACCTTCAAAGCAGCTCTTCCCATCACAGGCCAAGAGGCCTAGGAAGAAAAACTGGTTTCATGGGCCAGGCTCAGGGCCCTGCTGCTCTATGCAGCCTTGGGACATGGTGCCCTGCTTTCAGCTCCAGGTCCAGCTCCAGATGCTCCAGCTCCATCCAAGGCTAAAAGGGGTCAAGGTATAGCTCAGGCCATTGCTTTAGAGGGGGCAAGCCTCAAGCCTTGGTGGCTTCCACATGGTGTTTGGCCTATGGGTGCACAGAAGTCAAGAACTGAGGTTTGAGAACCTCCACCTAAATTTCAGAGGATGTATGGAAACACCTGGGTATCCAGGCAGAAGTTTCCTGCAGTGGTGGAGCCCTCATGGAGAACCTCTGCTAGGGAAGTCCAGAAGGGAAATGTGTGGTTGGAGCCCCCACATAGAGTCCTCACTGGGGCACTGCCTAGCAGAGCTGTGAGAAGAGGGCCACTGTCCTCCAGACCCCAGAATGATAGATCCACCAACAACTTGCACTATGCAACTAAAAAAGCCACACACATTCAATGTTAGCCCATGTGAAAATAGATGGAAGGGGTGTATACCCTGCAAAGCCACAGAGGCAGAGCTGCCCAAGGCCGTGGGAGCTGCCCAAGGCCTCTTGCATCAGCGTACCCTGGATGTGAGACTTGGAGTTAAAGATTATTTTGGAGCTTTAAGATATAATGAATGCCCTATTGGATTTTGGATTTGCATGGGTCCTGTAGCCCCTTTCTTTTGGTCAATTTCTCCCATTTAGAATCAGAGCACTGATTCAATGCCTTTACCCTCATTGTATCTATTAAGTTCGTGCAAAGTAATGGCAAAAACAGCAATTACTTTTGCACCAACCTTACAGGAAGTAACTATAACTCTTATGATTTTACAGGCTCCTAGGTGGATGGGACTTGCTTTCTGTCAGATGAGCTTTGAAGTTGGACTTTTGAGTTAATGCTGGAATAAGTTAAGACTTTGGAGACTGTTGGGAAGGCATGATTGTGTTTTAAAATGTGAGAAAAATGAGATTTGGAAGGGGCAAAGGGTGGAATAATATGGTCTTAGCTCTGTGTCCCAACCCAAATCTCATCTTGACCTGCAATCCTATTTGTAATTCCCACATGTTGGGGAAGGGACCTTGCAGGAGGTGACTGGATCATGAGGGCAGCTCCCCCATGCTGTTCTCGTGATAGTGAGTGGATTGAGATCTTATGGTTTTATAAGGGGCTCTTCTCCCATCAATCTGCACTTCTTTCTTCTGCTGCATTGTGAAGGAGGATGTGTTTGCTTCGCCTTCTGCCATGATTGTAAGTTTCCTAAGGCCTCCCCAGCCATGTGGAACTGTGAGTCAATTAAACCTCTTTCCTTTATGAATTATCCAGTCTCAGGATTTTGTTATAGCAGTGTGAAAACAGACTAATACAGTATTGCCTAAGAGATTTCCTCTAGATATGTATTTTTTATCTTGGAGCCATTAGATGAAAAGTTTTTTTGAAAAGTAAAAATTACATTGAAATAAGACCAAATGACTACAAAATTAAAATATGATGTGATTAGAATAGTTTAACTTTCAAACCACATACGGTCTTTGCAAAATCAATTTTTTAATTCTGTTAATTTTGAAATCAAATGCATCTTTAGCCACTGGAAAAACACATTCTTCTAAACAGTATATGAGCATCTTTTTTCATAGAGTACACTTTCCTCTGAGGGCTGTTAAATCAAGCTTAGCCTAAAGCTGCCTCCTTACATATTTAAGTTTGGCCTAAAGGTTTTTCTGTACATCATGAATTATAATAAGGGGCAGTATAAACCAACCATAGCTCACACCTTTGCCAATCACTGAGTTTTGGCCAATCAAATGTAGCCAACTGTTCAAACTGTGTTCAAATACGGCAAATGCCAAGCTGTAACCAATCCAGTTGTTTCTGTTCTTCACCTTCATTTTCTGTATGTCACTTTCCTTTTGCTGTCAATAAATTTTTTTCCACCATGTGGCTGCACTGGAATTTCTCTGAATCTGATGTGATTCTGGGGGCTGCCCAATTAGTGAATCATTCACTACACAATTAAACTCCCTTAAATTTCATTCAGCTAAATTTTTGATTTTAACAGGGCCTAAGAAAGCAAATAATTTGAATCAAACTTACCTAGGACAAGAACAATTATTATTAGTTTAATTTTACATATTGTGTCAAGTAGAAATCATATTCAGTTGTTAAGAGACACCCAGAAACGGAAAATGTTTTCAACTGTAAAATGGGGATTGGTTATTTCTCATAAACAAAGAAACCCAAAGATAGACATTCAGGCTCTTTAAGCTTTGCCATCATTGTGGAACTTACTCTTCCCTTCACTGTGTCAAAAAGGCTGCCAGATATGTGGGAATCATTTTTTTTGTTTCAAACTAAATGAAGGAAGAAAGCAAAGATTTTAAAAGGTGTGTTTGAGATGAAATGGTTCCCTGAAAAAGCCATTCCAGAATTCCTATCTCAACACTTTTGCTTACATCTGATTGTTCAAAATAGTTTCACTTTGCCATTGCTAGCCACAAGGAAGGCTGTGAAATATATTCTTTTTAGCTATGCACATTGCCATTCTTAATGAAATCATGTTATATTAGTAAGCAAGAAAAGACGAATCTGTATTTGATAGACAATTAATCAGTGCTTTTTCAACCTATATTATGCTTGGCTCTAAACCGATAATACAGAATTGACTTATGAAATATGGGATGATTGTTGGTTTGAGTTACTACTCTAAAGAACGCCCAATAAGAACAAAATGAAACACTTATAGAACACCTTATGAGCCACACTGTAGGAACAAAATGATTCAGAACGTGCTTTTTTAGTCAAAAAGACCTGGGTTGTATTCCTGGCACTAATCTTTTAAACTGTGTAACCTTAATAAGTTACTTAACTTGTGGTCTCAATTTCTTTTTCTGCGATATATGAGAATTGTCTAGCTATCCCATGAGGTGGTTATAAGCATTATGTAAGTTAAACCATGACAAAATGCCAGCAGAGTGCCTAGCATAGAAATCTTAAATACAGCTTAGCTACTACATAGCAATATGATTATTGAAATCACAAATTAGAACTAATGTAAAAATATAGAAATGGCATGCTCCTTGAAAAGGTAAATCAGTGGCCCGGCCTGGTGGCTCTCTCTCCTGTAATCCCAGCACTTTGGGAAGTTGAGGTGGGTAGATCACTTGAGGTCAGGAGTTCGAGACCACTCTGACCAATATGATGAAACCCCATCTCTACTAAAAATACAAAAATTAGCTGGGCGTGGTGGCACATGCCTGTAGTCCCAGCTACTCTGGAGGCTGATACAGGAGAATTGTGTGAACCCGGGAGGCGGAAGTTGCAGTGAGCTGAGATCACATCACTGCAAGAGATCACACCACTGCAAGAGATCGCAACATTTGGGCAAGAGAATGAGACTCCATCTCAAAAAATAAATTAAAAAAAAAAAGAAAAGAAAAAGAAAAAGGTAAATCCCTGCTCAATACAGTTACAGAAATATTCACATATTGCTTGTCTTTGATGCTTCCAAAATCTTGTTTTTTTGAATATTTTATTAAAATGGCAACATGCATCTTACTTAGTAATAGAAAGTGGCAAGTGGCATGTGTGTGTTAAATATTTTAAAAATTGGCACTTTAGCCATTTTTAACATCAGTGATTATATTTGAAAATTAAGTGAAAGCTTCATTGTTATAATGCTCGTTGATCTACTTTAAATAAGGGAAAGGGAAACTTCGACTTCACAATTCCTTTCCATGCAATAGAAGCAAGCTGGAATATGTGCATGTGACACTATGGATTTTTAGCAATTGAATTGAAGATAAGTACTAAATAATGCCTACCCATACTCTTAGGAATTATGCAGGGTGAAAACAATGTGTTCATAAATATAGAAGTGGGAAGGATCTTTCAACCTATTCTTAGCAAATCTCTTCTTGATCTGGAAAAATTTTCTGTCACCATTTTTGAAAGGTTCCTATCTCAATATTTTCATGGTCTTAACAGTACCTAGGAAGATTGTATTCTAAGGGTGAAAGATGGACTCTAAAAATGTGTTTTATTCTTGTTTACTTTTTATATATTAAATTCGTCATTACTAAAAGATAGAACATTCTAGAATAAAAATTAGAGATCCTCATCTATCACTGACTTTGGACAAATAACTTAAAATTATCTATATCCTAAATTCCAGAGTGTGGGGATATCAGTGTATAACTTTCTAACTCAAAAAGTTGAGGTGATGATAAACAAAAAAATTAACATATTTGTAATTTAGATGACCTGTAGCATTCATTGTGACTTTCAATGTCAATAGTAAGATCCGGGTTATAATATAAATACCAGTTCAGCATACTGCCAAAATAAAAGGAAATTCAGAGGATATATCTGGGGTGGGGATGGGGGAATGAATGAATTTCCATTGGTCTTTTTTCTTTGCCTAAAAAAATACATAATCATTCCATGTGACTCAATACAAAAATAACCAAATGAGAAGCTTTGACTCCCATTATATGCATTTCAAATTCTAATTTTCACATCATATTAGCATTTTCTTCTATTTCTTTCAATTTGTGCACTTTCCCTGTGAAGAAAACTCATTCTAGAAGTTAAGAGCTTGAGCTTTTCTTTTTATAAATCAGAGTTGTATATAGTTATGCTATCATAAAAAAGGTATTAAACTGGTAAATGGGTTTTACTGGAACTTATACACTTCACTGAAGAATAACAAGACCAATATTTCAGGGCATTTATTTGAAAAAGTGCACTTGTAGAGACTTTCTGTTGAATGTGATAAATTTCAGATGCACAAACTTTACAGTGGAAGCTCTGATATTTCTGCCTATTTCTAATGTAAGCATTTTTATAAATGTCATAGTTATTTATCCTGTAAATGCTCTTTTTTTATTCCTTTACTGACAAAATAATTGCTATTCCAAAGTGGAGAGATTTTTACATTTACTTTAGAGTCTGCCATGTCCTGGATCCCTTATATCCAACAGTTGGATATGCTGTGTTTTAAAATTTTGCCTTAATCAATTTGTTGGAATTTCATTAATGCAGTTACTAATTCTCTTTCTCTTGAATAATGTCAGTGCTTTCCCTTTTCAGGCTATAGCTATATCCTTTCAACTCTTCTGTTTGTTCTAAATAGAATTGTAGCTCTCACCTCACAATTACCTTCTTCTTTCATTTTACAAGATATTTTAACTTTAAAAATCCTAATTATACGTTTCACAATTCTAAATGCTCATATTTTCTTGCTGGAGAGAAATGCTCTCCCTCTCTGTCAGACTGTTTGGTTCTAAAATTTCACCCTCTATTCAACCATCTCTGTGCTACGGAGCTCCACTCTTGTGGACCTTGGAAACAGCTACTACCCACAACAGGTCGGCTGCCTTCCCAAGAAAGCTCAGTTCCCGATAGTTCACTAAGAGATGCCTAGCCTTCTTTCCTAATCTGACTGTTCTTCAGGGTGGAAATTGCTTATATACTTAGACTTGAGTATCATTTTATATATTTTTGTCTTTTTCTTAAATAACTTTCAAAAGCAACAATATATTCTGAATGGGGTTAATGTATTCATTTTAAGTGGTTTGAATAGCTGGTTCAAAAATAATTTCAAATCAATTGAAATAAAAACATAACCTGATCAGTAAAATGCTGAAATCAAAAGATTTAATTAGTGCAGGTACACTTTATATTATGGGCAAAGGAGCCTTGAGAATCCTTGAGGACTGCTTCTTCTCATGGGAGAGATATAAACTTACAGACCCTTGATTAACCTTAAGCAGTTGGGAATTGATCATCATCAGAAAAGACTCATTAAATTAACATTTAAAATCTCAGCTACTTCAACTTTTCAAAGTAAACTACCTGTAATTGTTTCAAATAACTTACTACTTTTCCCAGAGACTCTTTAATAATGTATATTATTGTTCTACCTGTTGCTTAGAAGTCAGAACACGCTAGTTGCGTGCTAATGCATACACATTATGCAAAAACCACCCAAAGATAAAAAGTCTTAATGTATCAAAGAGAAGCATGTGTCAGAGCTAACCAAGGTCATCAAATATAAAACACAATAAATTTAAGAACTGCTTATCACCTGTCAAAATAACAAATCTCTAAAGTAAAAGCTTTAGAGAAATTGTAAAGAATGCTGAAAGATCCCAAGGAATCAATAAAAAGACTGTCAAAAAGCCAAAGCCTAGAATAGGACAAGGCTAAAAATCACCCCCTCTAAATGGAAGCAATCTTTTTAAAAAAAGGATATAAATATTTCAGCTAAATCCTTTTCCTATGGTTTTTTGGATGTTAAAGGAAGGTGATTTAAATTACACGTATCCCCAAAATTATTAAAAAATATATACTTTCCAGAAAAAAAATTCTACTACACTAGAATAGCCTTAAAGAAATTCCAAATCCTAGGAAGAATATAAAAGTTCATTTTAGAGAAAATTTTGAATTATTTAAAAGAGAGCCTAGAAGAGACAAGACATGAGACATCTTATATAATCTCACAGCTGGCTTTGAAGGTTGTCTTATAATAACATTAAATTCTTCCAATAATTTGCCTAACAAAAACTTTCAAAAGCCTACATGGACATAGACTATGCCTTTAGTCCATATTGAGAGTACTCTTTTTCCTCAAAAATTAAAATGAACTAATTATAGGACAACGTGCTAATATACCAAGTGCAATGAGGACAGATGTATCTTGCCTAAATGCCAGGCACCTCAAACCATCTGCTTGTTTAGTTTTTGTTTTTGTTTTGAAGGCAAATTTGTGTTTATTTGTTTTCCAAATAGTGTTAACAGATTATACATAGATCGCACCGAGGAGCACGATGCCATGGAAAGCCTTCATGACAGAAAAGGGTCCTTTCTTATTTCACATTTGTTCTACCCATGCCTAACATACACAGATAGCATAGTGTAATGCTTTGCTGCTTGACATCTGCTCTGCAGAGCAGCAGCAGCACCTGGGAGCTTATTAGAAATGCACAAGGGGAGCTTCTAGCATAGATCTGTTCATTAGTGTCTACATTTCAGTAAGATCTGGGGGTAATGCACTTGGGAAGTACTGATATCGTGATTAAGAGCAGGCACTGTGGAGCCAGACTGGCTGGGTTCAAGTGGTCTTTCCTCTTGAAAGGATAGGTGACGTTATGCAACTTACAAAACATTTCTGTGCCTTGTTTTTCTCATCTGAAAAATGGAGAAAATAACAAAGCCAGCCCCTTAGGATTAGTGTGAAGGCTGAAGGAGCGAATTCATGCAATGCTTTTACAGTGGGTCTGTAATATAATAAATGTTATAAAAATATTTGCTATTGGCCATCCAAGGTGGCTCACGCCTGTAATCCCAGCACTTTGGGAGGCTGAGGCGGGCAGATCACGAGGTCAGGAGTTCAAGACCAGCCCGGCCAAGATGGTGAAACCCTGTCTCTACTAAAAATGCAAAAATTAGCCGGGCGTGGTGGTGGGCGCTTGTAATACCAGCTACTCGGGAGGCCGAGGCAGAGAATTGCTTGAACCCAGTAGGCAGAGTTTGCAGTGAGCCGAGATTGCTCCACTGCATTCCAGCCTGGCCGACAGAGCGAGACTCCATCTCAAAAAAAAAAAAAAAAATTGCTATTACTGTTATTATCCCCATTTAGGTGTGAATAAATGGTCTTTTAGGGAGAATAAAAGAGGAAATGTAATGGTGAGGGGTTTTAGGTTGGAGAAGGGTAAAAATGAATGTGAAGAAGTTTATGCTCACTTCCTGCTTTGTGGATAAAGCTGTTCTGATTTGGAATACTGACACACAATCTTTTAATACCATTGATTCAAATGAGTAAGTAATTGTACGTAACATCCTTCCCCAATTGCCCAACATCTCAGTCATTCTTTATTATTAATTAAGATTGTGAAAACATATTTAGATAAAACTTTGCAGAAAAAAAGGAAACACCCATAATTGAACCACGATAACAATTATTCTATTTTTATTATTATATTTGCAGTTAGAAACAAGTTTTAAAGGCATTTTAAAGAAATGTACTGAGTAAATATTGAAAATACTAATTTACCAACTGAGAGTGATGCTCATTTAAGTCAGAATATATGTGTGTGTATATATACATATATATATATTCTGACTTAAATGAGCACATATATTATACATATATATATAAAATGTTACAGTTTTTCTTTTGAATGATTTAAAGCTCATGAAATACAGTTCATGTATCCACATTCCTTATGTGTTCACGGCATCTTTAACTGTAAATGAGATAGCAACTAATAAAAGCATCTTTAGTTGTAAATGAGATAGCAACTAATAAAAAGTTTTAATTTCATGTTAACATATTTAAATTATGTGATTTTCCTTGTGCTGTTTTATTATTTTGATATTATTCTATGAAATCTAACATACCTAATCCTTTGCCTAACAAATAGTCTCAAAAAAAAAAAAAACAAATGTTTCCAGAAGTATTATATATGAGTTAAATCTGAGTATTCAGAGTTAATTTTAGAAAAGGACTAGTAAAGGGTACAGACATTTTTTTTTTTCAGTCTACTTGAGTTCTACACTTACTGGCCTCAATGTTCTGGGACTGTATTAAAGAGCATTAATATAACAGAATAATGGGGTAACATGTTTGAATATAGATCCAGTGTTGTATAGTCTCGTTTTTTGTTGTTTGTTCAGGTTTGGTTTGGTTTGGTGTTCTCGTACCAACAACAAAAAAAATTCCTTTACGTCAAAGTCCTTTTCACTACAGGTTTCAATTTCACACTCAAATATTTGTATCTTATTTCACTTGAAGATTCATTTGCAATTTTACCCAAAGTTTTATGGATCACTATCATAAAGATAATACTTTTACTTTTCATAAATAATGAATAAAGAATAAAAGGCCATTCCCCTATGAATTTTTAAAAATTCAATTTGTTCAGAGAAAAAGCAAGTGGGGTTATAGTCAACCAAACCTGTTTGAAAAATAACTCAACTCTTTTGACAAACGAAAGATGGTTGGGTTAAGAAAATGTTAAATTAATTTGAATTCTATAATACAATAAATTTAAATATTGTTTGTACCTATGAATGCAAAAATTCCAAAAATACAGAGAAAAAAGACTATGATAAAAGCATGCTTGAACAATATTACCTATTCCATTTAAATAGGATATTTACACCAAATGTGCATTAAAACAATAAAGCAGTAAGTGCAAGAAGTGTGAAGATAAAAATTCAACAGTTTAAAAAATGGTTAAAATATGAATGGTGTTTTTTCTGGAATAAACAGGAGAAACATTTACTATAATTTCTGAAAGTGCCAAGAAATATGACTAGAAATATAAATGCCCTTGTATATCAGGTGATGTGAGTCAAGCCTTCAGAGAAAATCACCAAGGGACTTTGACTATGGGAGAATAGTGAAGGGTTTTATATTTTTGTGGGTTCACACAGAGATCACTTTTATTTTCTCCTTTCATTTGACACAAATATATATGAGACCTGAGAACTACTCAAAAAATAGAGTAGGGTATGCAAAAGTGTTTGCAGTAATTATTTCACTACATATATGCATTAAAACATCATGTACTTCTCAAATATGTACAATAAAAACACATTTAAAAATATAGTGGACAATGTCAACCCGAAGTTTTTTTACTGATGGCAGCTTATTATAAGATGACTATGTTTACATGTTAGTTAGTAGGAACAATTGACTATATTAGTTAAAACATGTTTTTTCATGTTGCCTATACATGTAACAGCTAAAGCAAGGGCATATTTAGGATTAAAAAAACTGAACTTTGAAGGCAAAGAATTTGTTAAAACTGAAAATTAGTATTTGGAGATTTTAATGACCACTACATATATTTATATCACATACTGTCTTCCTCCCCTAAATTAAGGAAATTATACATGTTACCTAAAAAAGTACAAATAAAAACTTAGTCAACAAAAAAAGTTTTGAGTAAAATTTTAATGGCCTCAAATTCTCACTAATGGATGCATTGAACTGCATAGTTTGGCTTAAAAATCTATTTTCTATACAGCTTGAAACCTTAGGAAGTTTGAGATATTCATAAATAAATGTATAATAAGATTAAAAACTTAATAACATGTATAAATGCATAATCACTTTGTACTGATTTCAAATTATAAGGGATTATATATTTTAAAATTATGGCTCATTTGTTTTAAAATTATACGTATGACTAATTATTGACATTGATAATATAACCTTTTAAAAATTATTGTACATATTTGTATGATGACATCCTGAATTCTACTTATGTCTTGATTCTATATACAGGAACTCAGGAATTAATACATAAATGGAGTAGAACATAGAATGGGTGTTTAAGGTTATCAATCTTTTTTTACCATTTGAGTCATCCTAAAACCTGAACTTAATTGATTAGATCTAGTGAGATGATATCATTTGATTTTCTATCATAATATGTAACTGTAGTTTAATGAAAGTAATAAAACATTAAACATTAAGCAAAATTATTAAACTGCATTAACAACCAGGAACCAACAGTATATTAAAGTAAAGGCCTTAAGGTGGTAAAGAAGCATACAAACAAGTATCTGGGAGTAGAATACCTCAGGTAAGGGAAACAGCATGCCTCAAAAGTCCTGAGGAAGGAGTTTGCTTCATCTTTTACAAGCTTGTTGCTAGAGAGAACAGAACAACAAAGAGAGTGGGAAAGGAGGAGGCTAGGGACATGACAAAGGACCAGGTCACTCTGAAGACTTTGGCTTCTACCCTGAGTGGCATAAGTGGCCACATGTTGTACTTAGACTTACATATTAATGGGTGAACAATCTATAACGGCATATGAGAGAGAGCAGAAGGACCAGTCCAGAGGGGATTGCAATAATTTAAGACATGGCCACAGGTATCTGCTGAGTGGCAATGATGGAAATGGTAAAACATGCTCAGATTCTAGATATAGGTCAAAGGTAGTGGCAGGAAATCCCACGAATGAATTGGATGTGTTGAGTTTTTATGTTTATCAAATCATAACTTTAAGGCTACAAGTCTACTCATTTTAGGTCCATCTTTCTTGATATAAATTTTCGTACACAACTATCTTCTACAGCTCTCCTGCTAAGATGGTATAATTGTTATGATTCAATAAGTGAGATGAATAGCCTCAGTTCCACGTGACAGTTGCCTCCCCAACAAGAAATGTGATGGTAATCCACAGCAGGGTTATAATAAGCAGAATAAAATTAGGCAAAATAAATTGAAAACTGGTACATATGGAATATAACTTTAAAACTAATTATTGTTATTAACACAACTAATTTTCTATACTTTCTCTTTTTCCAGCCATACTAGTTAATTTCACAGTGCATTCTATTTTAGCTTTCCACTAGGGTCTCTCCATATTCCTTTTGGGAAAGATATAAAGATATTTATTTCTTGAAATTCCTTACTTAATGAGTTTTCTTTTTTTTATGGGTCATACCTGTTTTACCTATCAGACAAATTCTATTTTAAAATACCTCTTCCATAATTTTCTTTCATAAAATAGACCATAGAGCAGCATTTATTTATTTAACTTCTTGAAAATATCACTTTGCTACTTAGTTTGTTATTGTTTGATATCTAAGAAATTTTGTATCATGTTATAGGTTGCACTTTAAGTGATATTTGCTAATAAGTTCTAATCAGAATAAAGTCTCTTCCATATTAATGTAATGATTTCATAACCTTAAGTGCCTAAATTTTTATTTGCTTTTGCCACATAAAATCAAAGGCAGCACAAAATTTAACAGATATTAATATCTGTGAAAGAAATATATCTGTCTAGTTTACTGAATACTGCACTGGGCTGATTCAAGCCACTTTGCCCTAGAGAACATTTCAGAAGCTTCTAAAGCACTCAGAGAAACTCAACAACATCTTGTGTCCTAGTTGTCACAGGAGATACCCAGAAGCCCTTCATCTTCCTTACAGTAATTGTGCCCATCAGATCCCTCAGCTGTGTGTTCATTTGTCTGCTTTGTGGGCTCCTAATGAAATTTCCTGTATTTCCTTTGTCTTGTATAGATCTATCATAACAGTTATTCCATCAGTGTTTGTTAAATGGGCAGAGGGACAAAGAAGGATGTAGGCAGGAGGGCATCTTAAACTGCACACAAGAGAGAATCAATCCCCTAGTGACAATTTTCCAACTTACCTCTGTTCACCTTTAGTTATTTCAACTGCCAGCTGGCTCTTATGATTTTCCTCTCATTGATCCTTAATTATAAACAATAAGGGATACTTTGTGGGGTCATATAATCAAGCATAATTTCCTGAAGGATCTACAAAATAAAGCAATTTTACTGTTTATCACCAAAAGCCAATGATAATGCATAAATAATCAAAACCCCTAAAGGAAGCTGATGATACTTTGAAAGGCATAATTAATCATGCAAATTCTAGAAATCATACAGTAATTTTACTACATAAAGGAAAAAGTGAAAAAGGCAAAACCCAAAGGAGTTTGGGGCCAGAACATTTTTTGAAACCAAACACTTGGTCAGTCTCTACAGGTGAACTATTTCTGCAACATAATTTTAAATAATTAAAATCACCACAGAACACACATTCACAAGCAAAAAAAAATCATTCTTTCTTAAAGCTACTAGGGTCACAGTAACCAGGGCAGCACCTCAAGAGTGTGGAGAGTTGATAAGTGAAGTAATGAAAACACTATAGACCTTGTTAAAAAATTTTAAGAACCACATTTCAAATTATACTCTATTTTCATCAAATCCTTATGGGGTGAAAGTGGCTGAATTTATTTTTGTTTTAATGTGTACACATTTTTTGACTCTCTTGAACGGGTCATTCTCTTTGGTTTTGCACTTTTTAGTCAATACAGCATCAGTGGGAATCAAGTACCTAAATGATATACTGGTATGTCTCTATACATTAAAGGCCCATGATCTACTTAGGGATAACGTGGTTAATTTAAATTTCTCAATAGTCAATATATGTGGGAAAGGGAAACAAGACAAGGGAGAAAAGAAATGAGAAAAATACAGAAACTGAAGGGAAAAGAAAGAAAAAACAATGGGGTTGGGGGAAGAGAATAACTGATTTGAGACCAAAAAAAGTGAACTTTAAAGAAATGCATATGTTTATATTTGAGTGCATGGGTCATTTTCAACAAACAATATGCGCTATACAGCCTGTACATCACCAAGAAGAAATTTAGGGAGGTGTCAAAGACAAAAAATAATCTGCTCACAATGTTTTTGAAACTGGAATGAGAATTTTGGCTAGTAATAAATATCATTTCAACATTAACATGGCCGAACTTGAAAACTGTGTTATTTAAATTTGCGTTTTTGATATCACAAAGAATCGCTCATTTTAGAGAAGTATTACATTTTAAAATCACATAAATTCATAGAGGGCGTTTAGAAATATACAGTTCTTTGATTTTAACTGCACTTGGCACCCACATGCTTTAGAATCAATACGCTGTTATGACCAGAAAGCTTCTTTTAAAATTAAAGTAATGCATGTCATTATCTATGAATCTCCTCATTTTACCCTCAGGATCTCATCTATATCGTTGGCTAAGAAAAACATATATTTACCATATTCTACCACTTTGATTTCACCAAAATTGTTTTGAGGAAATGAATTCTAATAGTACATAGAATAGTGTTGTACAGAATTACTGTGAATAAAGATCTAGTTTTCTGTCCTTTACAGTCTGTTGCAAAAGCATTTGAAAATATACAAGTCTTCAGTGTTACTATAGAAAGCTCAAACTTCTTTTATTTAAAATGTCATCATCAAGGAAAAAAGTCAGAATTCATAATCCATGGGGCCAATGCACATACAGGCAAATCACATTCAGTACTTTTGAGGTCAGGATTCATATCTGAGTCTGAATCAATATTAATATTCCTTCTCTGCAGTTGGTAGATAAAAAATGTTTTCTGCAAAAGAAAGAGCTTCTATTACTTTTATTAAATAGTAGTTAGTTGGCTGCACTTTCCTTGGATTTAAAAAGAAAGTGTAGAAACGGCTGTGCTTATAGTTTCACAGTTTGCAAGAAGTGGTTTTGAGAAATGATATTTTAGCTTTACGGCATTCTATGACTTCACAATAATAGTACTTTTACTCACTTCAATATGCTCCTCCTTGAGGAATCTAACAGTGTTAAAGTATACTATCTCACTGGTCTTCATAATAATCCCATTAAGTCTGAATAGATTCTTATTTGATAAATCTTTGAAAAACCTGCTTCAGATTAAGCATCCTTATTTTTCTTCAAGGAATAGATTGATTTAATCCTCAACCAATCTCTTTTATGAGAATGGGAGCACAAGAATCGCTCTTTCTAAATCTAAGTTCAGAGACAGAGCTTCCTTCATTACTGCCAGCTTCAAGAAACTCTTCCTCCAATTTACCCATCTTTATCTCTTTAAAGAGTACACTACTTGGCCAATTAAAAAAAAGACAAAACAGAGAAAGGGAGAAATGTCAGAAAATAATTTTTTCTTCTACCTTATGGAGCAGCAGATAATTTTCAGCTGAGATAATTTTGAATCACTAAAAACATTTTAGTGAACTAAAAAAGCCCAAGAGGCATATTAGGACAATCACATATTTCTTATTCTGCATCAGGCAATATACTATGTTAGTTTTATTGTTTATGGAAAACCTCTCCAGTTACAGCTTATTGGAGAGTGTGCAGATATTTACGTATTATTTATGTTGCCCAGAATGTTCACAACCGTCACCCCCAGCACCTTGTAGCATATAAAATAGCAAGTTCTTGTAAGTCACACTTGGCTTAGCCTCTGCCATCTCCAGAATAAGGTAAAGAAGATATCACTCTTTCACAAATGAGTGAAACCTAGGGAGTTGAGTGACAGATCTGCATTTCATGGACTAGCATAGTTCAAATGTCACTGTAAAAAAATTTACTTTTCCAAAATATAAAGTAAAATTTTACTTTTTATACTGTTTCTAAAAACAAAACAAAAAGACAGGAAATCAAACAAAATAATAGCACATCCTGTAATTACTAGTAACTTATAGCACCAAATTTTAGATTCTTCTTTTAAATTTCTTAAGCTATATTTTTAATACTGGTAAAAGTAAAAGCCAAACATCTCATTTGTTTTGCCTCTTGGTAAAAATTGGATTATTAATTAGCTAAATAGACGCATCTGCCCAAGAGTGTTGTCTTCATTTATTTTTCTACCTACTTTACCCTCAGGAAAGGTTTACAGCAAGAACAATAAAGTCAAGAGGACTTTGAGGCCGAATTTTATTGCTTGTGGCTGAATTTTAGCCAGATTTAGTTTTTGTTTCCATGACTTAAAGTTCCACCTCCTGCGCTAGTTTTCCAATATTCATTCATTCAGTCCCATAATAACGGATTCCTATTGCTCAAATTAAGACAGTGTCTTTGTATTGATTCATTAAGGCAACAATTTTATTTCTCACATCAACAATTTGTGTCTGAACCTCAGATTATGTCCCTACCCCACAGAAACGGAATTCACAATTCAAAAGCAAATCATTTGGGACAACATACCTGGGAATTATACTAGATAGGATTTTCAGCATATACATATTTTTTCAGGCTTGTTTATGTACTGCAAAAGCAGAAACAAACTCAGTAATTCTATTTAATAGAGCCTCTCAAAGCTCTGTTTTGCTATAATTGAAGACAAGAGCTGTCAGGAAGCAAACACTGAAAAGATGTATGCTGCTCTTTGCTCAGTGATGTAAGTAGAACAATCTTGGACAGAGGGGCCAATATCAGACAACAGAACTGCTGGCACAGAGTGGTGAGGCAATTAATTTCTCAGATGCTAATTCAATGTCATAAAGAAGAAAGGAAGGAAAACAAGAGAGCTACAATAATATTGTGAATATCACGTAGATGATAGATTAATGAAAATTGTAAAAATGAAAAGGAGAAATACATTTTCAATTCTTCTCATTCTAAGTTTGATTGGATGCAGCATAGCATTGCAAAATTGGTTTTTTATTTTTATTTTTTGTAATGGAAGAAAAGGTGATATTTCTACCCAAATCAATCATTTATCTGTTTTTCCAACCAACATGATGAGATAAAAACTATATTGCCAGCATGGAGTTTGTCTGAGAGTCATATTTCCTTATAAGCTAAATCAGTAGCCATTTAAATGTTTCTAATTCAAAAGTTTAAGAAAGAGGGAAATTAAACAACAAACTAGGTCTCTGAGGGGAGGATTTTGGAAAAGGGAATCACATTTTAAGCTAGACGTCCTTCACAGCACAGAGGAGCATTACATGGCTGGTTTGAAATTAGTTGTACTTTTTCTATCAGGTTCCTGTTTCTATCCATATTTAAGGGGTTGTCCAGGTAACTTCACCACTTGGTTTCATTTTAAAGCCAGAAGCATCTATTTCCATATTCTAAAGTAGAAGTTCAAATTGTCTCAAGAACACAGCAATTAAGTCTGAAAAGCAGAGGTAATCATGTCCTTTGAAATCAAATTATCAGCTCATTGTCTCTGCTATGGTTTGAATATGTCCCCTACAAAATTCCAGTGTTTCCTCTACCATCATAGGAAAAGGTGGGGCCTTTAAGAGGTAATTTGGCCATAAGTGCTCTTCCCTGGTATGGGATTAAAGCCCTCATAGAAGAGGCTTTATGTAACATTTGGCTAGCTTGCCTTTCTAATTTTTGCCATGTGAAGACACAGCAAGAAGGCCCTCCAAGATAATATGTCGGTGTCTTGGTCTTCTCTTTCTCAGTCTTTAGAACTGCAAGAAATATATTTCTGTTCTATGTAAATTACCCAGTCTGTGATATTCTGTGACAGCAGCACACAATGAAGTAAGACACTGTGTTGACATGTTTAAACTCTGCCGCTGTCTCACCTTTCATTGACTCCAGGACACTAAGACAGTGGTAAAGCTAATCATGGGAAGATAATTATCATCTCCAGAATTAATGATGTAGACCTCACTGTCTCTTATGGCAGCAAAACAAGAGGGTGAGGCAGGTAAAGAAGCATTTGAAAGAGGGAAAAACATTCAGTCCAAGCTGGATGCAAGAAAAAGCTCAGCCGACCCAAATTGAATTTACATTTCCTACATCGATCAAAGTTCTTCCTTCTTTATTTATTAAAATTTTACTAATGTTCACAAGATATGGCATCTGAGCTCCAAGTGGTTTCATACATAAATCTCATGAGCATAACACATAACAAATAAAAGAACAGCAGAAGGAGGACTTCATAGCCATCCTTTAAGGCTATTACAAACTTACAAATGGTGTTTTGTTAGATCATCTGAGAGCCCATGCAATGACAAGAGCCATTTCAAAAACTCATTAAATCAAAATAGAATCCAATTAGTTCATTCAAAGAGCCACAGAATTTTCTTATATTTTGAACTTAACATATTGAACTATTTATGTAGTTGTTTTGTACAGACACTGAGAATATACTTTTGGAATATGGAATGTGGCTAATACGTTCTGTGAATTACACCATTACCATTACTAGTATCACTTTTGCTAATGAAGTCAAAATAATTCATGGTTTATGAACTTCAGGCTGTGAGAGGTTACTTCAAGTGTGAGGGGTAAGTGTTTATACATTATTAGACCATTCATTTCAATTTTAAAAAACAACTTATGGCATAATGATACCTACATGCACATGGTCTGTCAATGTTATGTTGTCTTGAGGCCATGTTTTTTAACTGTATAATTGTATTGTCAAATGGGATTTGTGTCACAGTTCTAAAGGTGTTTTTTATTTTATTATTTTTTTTTATTTTGAGTCTCGCTCTGTCATCCATGCTAGAGTGCAGTGGCACGATCTCAGCCCACTGCAGCCTCCACCTCCCAGGTTCAAGCGATTCTCCTACCTCAGCCTCCTGGGTCGCTGGGATGACAGGGGTGCGCCACTGCACCTGGCTAATTTTTGTATTTTTGGTAGAGACGAGGTTTCACCATGTTGCCCGCATGTCTTCAACTCCTGGTCTCAAGTGATCCTCCCACCTCAGCCTCCCAAAGTGCTGGGATTACAGGCATGAGCCACCGCACCTGGCCTAAAGGTGTATTTTAAAGCATGCAAATAAAAAACTATTTTTAATAATCTGACTTTTATGAAAAGATTAATAAAAGTTAATGCTGATTGTCATATGAAAGAAAAGTTTAATATGCTTAAATAAAATAGTTTTGTATTCTTTGTCTTAACCCTATATTTATAAAGTAGAAGAAAATAGAAAACCTATTATAATACAAATATGTAATGTTTAATTGCATCAATTGTTTTAAGAGGACAGATCACATAGTGCTGACTTAATTTTAACATTATTTAGAAGAACGTAACATTATTACTGGATTTTATTTTAGCACCCCATTAATACTGCAGGCAACACTTCAACAGTAGTTTCATGCATCATCACACAACAAAGGTGTTTCTTAATAGACCATTAAAATATCCATGCCATTTTTATCTTAATAATTTATTTATAATATATGTATGCTTGCCTCTGACAAGTAGGGAAGAGCCATGAATTAAACTGATCATAAATGATGCAAATGTTGCTTTAAGAAATATAAAAAAATGAAAGCATTTTTCCTCAAATGCTGTATCTGTTCTTGGTCTGTTTATTCCTTTCAGTACTTCCAGGCTCATTATTTTGACTATATGTTCTCCATAATGAACCTAATGTACATCTTAGACATTTATTCCTACCAATAGCTGACATTTAATTAATGTCTTTTAAAAATAGTTATATTTAGAAATGTTAATATTTTACTACTTATTAATAACTTTATAATATAAAACAATCTATAATACAAATTGCTATTATCTGAATAGAATGACATCATATGTTAACTAAAATTACATCACACTGCTGGAATACACTTAAAGTTTAAAATTATATGATATTGTTAAACATATTGATCTAGCATCATTCATAAAAGGGTTACCTTAATTTTTTAACCTATGGATATGTTTTTATTTATTTTTCTTTATTGTTAAATAACTGCCTTTGTATATAGTAGTGGAATGTATTAAATAATTCAAGAAAGGATTTTTTGGTGACATTAACAGAGACTTTTTGTAACAGCAGTTGTATATGTATTATCAATTGATTTTTAACATTTGTAAAATATTAACTAGTAACTTTAGTAAGATGTTATATAATAGAACATATACTCCATAAGCCATTAACTCAGTCCAAAAGTAAACTTGACTTATACTACTCTTTATTTATCTAAATATCCTTGCTTTTCAGGCCATACATTTATTTTCCATATTTTGGATGTGTTCTAAATGTAAAAAATGAATCCATGTCCCATATATGTTGGTTCACATCTGTAATTTCAGCATTTTGTGGAGCCAAGGTAGGCAATCTCTTGAGGCCAGGAGTTTGAAACCAGTCTGGGCAATATAGTGAGACCCCATCTCTACAAATTAAAATGCATTCATGTAAATCCATCATTAATAGAAACTCTCACCATTAAACAGTACATGTGAAGCCAAGAAAGTACATTGACATTATCATCACTTTTAAAGTTGAATGTAATTTTTACAATGCCATTGCATAACTTGGTCATCTTATAATTAGTTTATTTTGAGAATGTTCTAGGAAAAGTGTTAAGGCACTGAAGGAAACAAGCATTTTGTATTTACATGATTAGTTTAAATACTTAAGGGGACTATAGACTCAGAAATGTGAAAAAAAAAAGAAAAATAGAGATATGAAAAAACTACAAAATAAGTAAAGAAATTCTAACAAATACTTGAATGCCTATCAAAGTATAGCATAGGTCCTCCAAGAAGCATAACCAAGACAGTATTAGCTGTGCAAGAGGTTTACTGAGGGAAATGGCAGGGAGGAAAAATGAAAAGTGCCCACAGAAGGCCAACACACCTTCAGAGTGTCAATTACGCTTTTTACAGGAGATTTGAATGGTATATTTCCATTATCGCCATACTACACTTCTTATCTCAAACAAGTTCCGGGCCACCTACTCCATGATCCCCCAGAGCCTCTCTTTCTAAGAAGAAATAAGAAAAGAATTGACAGGATAAACTACAGCCCTTTGGCTGCAGTTGATCTCAGACCAGCAACTCATTCTCTATTTCCTTCACAATCCTTCTATTTCTCAGAGGTTGAAACTCTTGGATACCATATATTTTTTTTTCTGGTTGGGATTTCTGTATGAATTTGTTCACAGGTATAATGGGGAGAGGGAGTTGCAGGGCATATAGATGCCTCACCCTCTTGTTTTGCTGCCATAAGAGACAGTGAGGTCTACATCATTAATTCTGGAGATGATAATTATCTTCCCATGATTAGCTTTACCACTGTCTTAGCATCCTGGAGTCAATGAAAGTGAGACAGCGGCAAAGTTTAAACATGTCAACACAGTGTCTTAGTTCATTGTGTGCTGCTGTCACAGAATATCACAGACTGGGTAATTTACATATAATAAAGATCCAAATATCCTTATTATTGTTCCTACTGTGAAAAGCAGTCCTATGAACTCTTGTAGATGAGGGTTGATTACTCCTGCCAGACAGTGACTCCTCTTCTTGTCTCCAAATCTCTCGGAACATGTGTCCAAAGTGCCCTGGCAGCATGGTGATGTATAATTCTATAGGAACTGTACTGTGTCTGCTGTCAGGAAGGTAACTATAGGGACCAGAGTTGAGGGACAGAAAGAACAAAATCTCCCAGTGAATCATTGGAAGTGATGGTAATTGCAAACACTAGTGCTTTCCCCCTTAATTGCCAGATTATATATTCTTTCTATTGGGAACAATGCACCATATAGAGGTATCTAATTTCATGCATATACTGCACCCTGAAGGGTGGCACCCATCCTTTCAGCAGGTTGCCTCTGAACTGGTGCTTCAGCTGTAAAAGGCTTTCCTAGAATTGTGTGAGACAGACTGCTTCAGCATAGGGAGATATACAACACAGCTAGTGGATCTTATGGTTATTGTCTGTCTCATGCATGTCTTTCACTGCAAAGTCTGTCTCCTGGTTAGATGGTATGATATGCTTCTGTATCATACATTCTATAAGTACCTACATAGCAGTGATGGCTGAAGCTCAGTAGGAAAGGCAAATCAATACCCGGAATAGGTGTCTATCCTTAGGAAAAACTGGTGGCCTTTCCAGAACGGAAGGAGTACAATAAAGGTGGCTTAATCAGCTGGTTGGTCTCCATTAGAAGAGCATATTTCTCTGTTTCTGTGAAGTTGTATCAACCTTGGTAAGTTGGAGGCCATGCTATTAAGCTAATGCTAGGCGCCATCTCTGCCACTGTAGCCACTATGCTCATATACTCATATACCCATTATATCGGTTTTGGAGCACTCAATGATAAAGGGTTAATAATGTCAACTGACTCAGTCATTTTGTCTACTGCCTTCTCCACTAGAAGGTTGTCTAGTGCCTTCTCCACAGTGAATGGATGCTTTGCGTGGGTGTTAATATGTGAAGCAAAAATATTAACATGTTATCTTCACTTGCATACATTCATTTTTATGCCTCTCCCTCAGATCTCCTTGCTTTTGAATTTCCGGGTTTTATTCTTCCACACCCCTAACTAGGTGACCATACCATTACCCACTTCCTACACACACACACACACGCACACACACACACGCACACTCACACTCTAACTAACTTCAGGTCACTTCTCTTTCCACACAAACTGAATAAACAGTTTCCTAGTAGCTCAGTTGCGAATCTACTGCATGGAAAAAATTTTCCCTCCTCACCATTTTATACTGTTTTTTGTTTGTTTGTTTGTTTGAGAGATGGGGTCTCATTATGTTGCCCAAGCTAGAGTGGAGTGATTATTCACAAATGTGATCATAGCATACTATAGCCCTAAACTCTTGGGCTCAGGCAATCCTCTTGCCTTAGCATCCTGGGTAGCTAGACTTACAGGCAAATGCTACTGCTCAGCTTCCAATGTCTTTTCAAAACCACCCCTGAATAGTGTTATAATGCAACCACCATCCACTTATAGTTTGCATTGAAACCATATCTAAACTCAACATGTTTTTTTGTTGTTTTTGTTGGTCATCTCCTCTATGTGGTCTCCTCTATGTCCATGGGTATGAGCTTGCCATAAAATGTATACCATGTATTTTTCCACCACTGACATTTCCCAAGCCTTAAGGTCTGCCAGAAATATGGTCCCAGCAACAGGTTTATTGTGTTGCAACTGTACCTGCAGCAGAGCCTTTCCTCCTCCAGACTTCACTAGAAGCCCTTTCCTCCTCCAGATTTCACTGGAAGCTGGCAGACTTCTGTGCTACCCAGAATGTAGGCTAGAGCCACATATCTACACATGGAATGTGTTATCTCTAGAACCCAAATGGTCCAATGAGATTCTGTGTTTCCTTCTTTTTGGTAGAAGATACATACAAAGCAATTTCTCTTTTGCTTTGACTGTGGTATCCTGGCATCCCTTGACCATTCGACCTCCTAAACACATTACTGAAAATAGGTAATCCCTGAATCTTCATAGAGTCCATCTCTCACCTTTTGGAGCTACTGTATCTTAAGGAATCCTTGCACCAATACATACATTTTTTGCCCCATCCACTTAGCATGATACCAACAATGCCAGTATGATATTCTGCAGTATGTCCAGGCAGTCCAGATCCTTCTGGATTATATTATGACATAGGGAGAGAGAATTTGCTTAGACATGCGGTAAAACTGTAAATAAATATTCTTTTGTGTTTCACTTAAATGTATGTTATTTATGATACTCCTTTCTCATTAGAATAGAGTATGCAAGTATACTCTATAGGAATAGAATATAGGAATATAATTGCAAATCACTGGCCATATCTCGTGTACCTGAGATCTTATTAATCTGCTCTAAAATGATACCATGTTTAGCACAACAACTGGGACCAAGGCCACTATTTAATTGATGCTGTGAGAGTCTACAGTCATTCTCCCAGGTTCATCCAGTTTCTGCAGGGCAAGACTGGTATACTTCATAAAGATATAACATGATAGGAACCACAAATCCTGCATGCTTGTGCAATATAATAGAGTTACTTACCTCAATATTTTCCCATTTCCAGGAGTTAATATTGTTTTCGATTTACTATCTTGGACAGGGCAGTTTGAGAGGTTTTTCATTCAGCTTTCCCACTATGATCACTCTTACATCATAAGTCAGGGGAATAATGTGGGGGCTACTCCAGTTGCCAAGTATATGAATTCTAATTATATCCTTTAAAAATGGGAAAATTATCCTGGTGCATGTTCATGAATCCAGTGAGGATACTGCGAGTTGGTCTTTGGTCAGAAGTTAAGATTCCAGTTATTCTCTGGATCCTATAAGCTCACGCTAATATGGGTGGAAGTGAAGTAATGATGCTTTGCATCTGCAGGTACCAATGTCAACTCAGATCTTTTATCTAATAACTCCCAAAATGTCTCCATGTCCCCCTTCTCCCAGTGTAGTGTATGCTTGCAATAGCATAGTTGTGTAATATCACCTAGTGACCCAGTGGATTTCTGATTTGAAAACTACCTCAGTATTAGAAACTTGACAAGAGATCGCACATATTACTGACATTTTCATCACTATACTTTCACTTTTTGCTTCTTGACTTTTTGATATTTTTAATGTTATAAATATTAATCTCATCTATTTTGTCCTTAGGGACACCAAGCTCTTCTAGCCATCTCTACAACTAGCTGAAGGTTAAGATCCCTTGCTTGGTCCTCTGACTTTGCCAGTATTTTAGGTAATTGTAGCCTCCTGCTTCCTGATGTTAAACTGATGCTCCCTAGCTTGTATTGCTACAGGGCTGTATTATCCATATGGGTATTAATTAGCCCAGCTCTGTGACTATTTGTCCCATTGTCAGTACTGCACTGCAGAAGAGACACATGACAGCATCTCAGGGATGCTGGTGCCCCCTCACTAGCACTTTTCTAGTGGCCTTGGTGAATGTTGTGTTCTTTGGGCCCTCCCATGTGATATAATCTTCTGATGAGTTTTCTAGCCTAACGTTCATTCCCAATTGCCCAATTTCCTCAGCCTCTCTAATTTTCCCTTCACTACCTTCTAGGACAACTCGGGCATTTCCACTACTTTAGGCTTTGCCAGTATCTCCTCCAGATTTCAAAGAGCTACCACCACAGCAGCAAGTTTGACCCACCCCCGGAAACTTTTCCATAATGTCAAATTCTGTATCTTGAGAAAGTACCCCCAACCTAATACATTTTGGCTTATTCATTCTGATATTTAGGCTTTCTTTGGTCAAGCAATCTCATAACCCAATCTCAATATTACTGCTTTGATTTTTGCTTGTACATGTTACCAAATTCTTACAATCCTTTTAGAGCATAATCGTTTTCAGGACCATAATGTTCCCAGGTGAGTTATGCTTAGACTTACTCCTACTTTTCAGCCTGAGAGCTAAGAGAAGAGGTTGAGAAAGGTCTTGAGGTGATAAAACAATGTACTTGTTTCCTGCTGGAAGAGGCCTCTGTGGTGTCTTGGAGCACAGGACGATAGTCTGGTAGAGAAAACCTGGGGTTGTAAAACATGGAATGGGTTTATCTAAAGGGATGCCTCTGAGCATGCTGGTATGCAGACCCCCGTGAGTGTTCTGGGGCTGCAAGAGTAGACCCATCTATTCCTAGTAACTTTTGGTATGCCTTCTGTGCTTCAAGATATCCTAGTGGCTGAACACTCAAATGTCTCTTGAGCTTTGCAACTCTATTGTATTTACATCCTGTTGCTCAGCATTGTCAGCTCTTCTCCGGGGAGAAATAAGGCCTGTTTTGTAAGCTACTGTGGGGAACCCCTTACTCTCACACAAGTAGCCGTTATCTGATTATAAGTCACCCTCAGTTCTTATTTTTTGAAGGGAAGAGGTTAAATACAACTTGGTAGTCAGCTAACTCCACTGTAGCTGTATGCATTACTTACCCAATTATCATTCAAATGCCCAGATGATCGCACTTGTAAAAACATTCCCCTCAACCTGAATATTTTCCAAGGCACCTTTGGTAAAATTTTTAGCAACTGGGGCCCTACTTTAGGCAAGAGACTCCCCTGCATCACCTAACAACTTAAATGGTGTTCTTTTTGCCTGTGTCTAATAAGTGAGCTGGTCCCAAATTCCAATCTTAATATCTGTTTTCACATATCCACTTGTGTTTTTCTGGGTCCTCCCAAAAGTAGATGACAAGACAGGATTATATGTACAAGATTTTTTTGGATGAAATGCTAGTGAGGGAAAATAGGGAGGTACATAATGAATGCTGTGAGAGCCATTAGATCCTGTTACAGGTCTGTTCATTGACAAGAGAAAAGAAGAAGAAAAAAGGTTGCATGGAAGACTCAGACTGCAGTGCATTTCTAAGAAATTTTCTGCAATGCCAAGTCTTTAAGCCAAAGTTGTCCATCAGAGGGGTTCTGTGTCTCACAGAAACTAGCCTACCTTATTATGCCATCTGTTTTAGTCCATTTTCTTTGCTTATAGCAGAATACCTGAAACTGCATAATTTGTAAAGAAAATAAATTTACTTCTTACAGTTATTGGAATGAGAAATTCAGGTTGCAATTTATGAGATCCTTCTTGCTGTAGGGACTTTCTGTAGAGTCCCAAGGAAGCATGGGGTATTGCACGAGGAAGGGACTGAGCATGCTAGCTCATATTTTACTTCCTTTTCTTATAAAACCACTAATTTGACTCCCATGATAATCTATTCATTCATTAACTCAGTAATCCAGTAATCCAATAACCCATGAATGAATTAATCCATTAATTCAGTAACTAATTAATGGAGTAATCTATTCATGAAGGTAGAGCCCTCCTTACCCCACCACCCTTTTAAGGCCCCACCTCTCATTGGGGAATAGATGTCAACATACATTTTGGAAGGAACAAATATTCAAAGCATTTCACCATCTACAAACATTCACTGCCTGAGAGCAGCCCTGGAGAAGTATGGCCTCAACATCAATGTGGCAATGGAATGTAGAGTGCAGCAGCTGGGGCCATCAGTCAACTATGCAAGCACTACTATGAAGCCTGAGAGGGATATTTTCATGGGTACCACATATTTATGCCATTTATATAAAGACATTATTTTTTAATAATATAGACAATTTTCTTTTTGCATAATGGAGGAAAGTTTTCTGACTATCTTGGTCTATAGACACAGCTAGGATTAACCCTGTTGGTTTCATAAACATGATTAAATAGCATTTACAGTGGAAAGCACTGATGATGAGATAATAATATGATATGTATAATAAGAGGAAGAAAAAATGATAAAATTTGATTGATGAGCTTAAAATGACAGAATGGAAGATATGCAGGTAAATGTAGCACCTAAAAATGTGAATGGATACTAAATTTTGCTAATGCTGTTTCTGACATTTCTAAACTCAGTTTTTGTCCTTCATTTAGCAGGTCATGATATCAAAGATAAAAGAATAAAAGAACCATTATGCATACTATATTAAGAGTTTACTTAACCTCTAATTTCAGTTATCTCAAGCTATCTAAAATAACACAAGTAAGTTATAACTTACTGGAAAGTTTATATTTTCCAAAATTAGCTCTATTTAATCGGACAAAAAATTTATCATTTCAATCTTATAATCAGAGAGTTTCTGTGTCAAATTATGTTGCATTAAACATAAATTGTGTATTAAAATTATTTTAAGTGCAAACAAGAGGCAGTTTGTCCTGAATAAAATTCCCTTTCAACTATATGTCCTATCATACTCTGCCAAGACACTAAAATTCTGCCCACATAGTATTTTTTTAAATAAATGCTGAAGAGCCAATTAGCCCATCTGGTATGTAAGGGAAAAAATAGAAATGAATAGATGCCTAAGTAATAGATATGGAATGAACAAGTACATATTCACTTCAGAATTCAGGTATCTCAAAAAATGTCTACAACTGGCTTTTATGAATAATATCAACTTCATTTTATTTAGCTGAAATGCAATGGAAATTGTTCTTTCTATAAAAATATTCTAAGAGTGGTCTTAAGAGATATGGTTTTGTTATACATCTGGATGTAATATATCGCTATTGTGAAAGGATAATAACTTTGTTCTCTTAGAGGCATTTTAATAATGAATGAGCTATACATCGTTCATGTGATTTGTTTGTTTTAACAATGTGTCACCGAAGGCTTATGATCACAGAGACCCTAGGAATACATTTATTTTTTTTTTCTTTTTTATTATACTTTAAGTTTTAGGGTACATGTGCACATTGTGCAGGTTAGTTACATATGTATACATGTGCCATGCTGGTGCGCTGCACCCACTAACTCATCATCTAGCATTAGATATATCTCCCAATGCTATCCCTCCCCCCTCCCCCCACCCCACAACAGTCCCCAGAGTGTGATGTTCCCCTTCCTGTGTCCATGTGATCTCATTGTTCAGTTCCCACCTATGAGTGAGAATATGCGGTGTTTGGTTTTTTGTTCTTGTGATAGTTTACTGAGAATGATGATTTCCAATTTCATCCATGTCCCTATAAAGGACATGAACTCATCATTTTTTATGGCTGCATAGTATTCCATGGTGTATATGTGCCACATTTTCTTAATCCAGTCTATCATTGTTGGACATTTGGGTTGGTTCCAAGTCTTTGCTATTGTGAATAATGCCGGAATACATTTAAATACAGGTCATTAACGTCATAAAGAAATTGAGTTCTGGGTGCTGTATATTCTGTCTGTATGATGTTTTGATACGATGCATATAAATATTCAATGGTAACAGAGCTCACCGGCTTATGTTTCAGGATCAATGCCATAAAAGCCACTTTTCTCTACTGAAATTGATAAATACGAGATGTATACTTAATACAAATTTATTTTTCACTATTGTAGAAGGAAACGAAAGGAGTTATATTATAATAATGTAAAGAATCTGTATAAAATGTGCAAACTTTTAGCTTTTCAAGCCGCAAATATACTGCTATACTAATATCAGGGTTTATTGTGGTTCCTTAGCAGAGGGCAAATTGTTTCTTTGCCTTAAAATGCACAGCTATAACAGGTACAATAACCATCGGTGGAGTAAAATTTTACTTATACAATTAAAACACCAATAAAAGATATCTTTGGGTGGACTTAGGTAGAATTATGCCAATGATTATATAATTTTATATAAATAAATCAAAACATGAATATAGATACATATCCACAAAATTTTCGCTCTAAAATTATATTTTTACAGTAAAGGTTTTTTTGGACTAAAACTTGGCTGACAAGCTTTCAATCCATATGAGAAAGGAATTTTAAAATTAGGTATAAAAATAAAACATTGTTTAGAAAAGCATTTAAAATAAAAGAGCTTTGTAATTTTAGAATGCTTTCTTCTATTGTTTTTGAAGAAAATTCTACCCCATAAAATCATGGTTCTTAATTCAAAATGCGGTTTCTCTGTAAGCAAATTTGAATAGGTGGTAAGGACTATTATTTAGGTAATCAAAATAAATAAACTTGTTCAAAATAAAAGTGGTTTTATTGGTTCAAATTTTTTAGAGTGAATACATAAATTAATTAAATTAGTTACAAATTTGTCCAACACTTCTCTTTGCATGAGTGGATAAAATCTGAATAATAAAATAATAAAGATATATAAATGGTATACCACAAAAATATGTGCCTCCCTACAAAGAAAGTTTGGGGGAATGTGAAACTGCACAATCATATTTTAACAAATGAGTGAGTCAAGTAAAAATAAACTAGTAAATATGCCTATAATCTTAATAAGTCATGTCCATTACAACTGACTCCTACCCAAGGTTTTAATTTTCTTTAACCTAGGATAAAACAGAATAAATGTAACCAAATAATGTTCAAATAACTATACTTTCAACGTTACAGAAAATTGCAAGTCAAACAGGCTCTAGGTCACACTGTTGTATTCTAAATATAAATTTAAGATTCACTTACTGTGACTCTGAAAGCATTTTCTCAGGCCAATATTTTGAAACGATTGACTCAGCCCTATTTACTTGTTAACATTGTTTCCCCTTAGGCTGCACACATACTTTTGCCAACTCTTTTTAAATCATTTCTTGTGGTCTGAATGTTTGTGTCCTCTAAAATTTAATGTTGAAATCCTAACCTTGAAAGACATGGTATGAAAAGGTAGAGCTCTGGGGAGGTGATTAGATCATGAAGCAGAATCCTAAGGACCGCGATTAGTGCCCTTACAAAAGAGACCCTAGAGAGCTAGTCTGCACCTACCACCATGTGAGGATACAGTAGAAGTCAACCATCTATGAACCAGAAAGCAGGCCTTCACCTTCACTAGCCTTGAATTTGCCAGCACCTTAATCTTGGACTTCCAGCCTCCAGAACTGTCAAAAAATAAATTTCTATTATTGACAAGCTACCTAGTTTATAGCATATTTTTACAACAGTCCATATGGATTAATGCACCATTGGAGTACACAGGAGAGATCAGAGCAACATTTCTGAGTTTCAGTCCCCACTCTGTTACTTAATGGTATGTAAAATTAAGCAATGTCTCATTATTTTATTTGTGAATATTAAATTATTTTATCTACAGTCATTTTAAAATATTTATTTTTATCATTAAAATAAAAATAGCAAGCATTTTAAAGAAAACAAAGTTGGAAACAGTAATTGTTCAAAAAATTATTTAGTGTGAAGATTTATTTAATTTCCTATTGTTTTATCAAGATATTCTTATTCTTGCGATAGTTTACTGGGTGCAGCGCACCAGCATGGCACATGTATACATTTGTAACTAACCTGCACAATGTGCACATGTACCCTAAAACTTAAAGTATAATACAAAAAAAAAGATATTCTTATTGAAGACTTTAGAGATTAAGTGTATAGAAAAATAATTCTGAAACACAAAAAATATAGTTACTATAGTCATATAAGATCAATGAAAAATAATATTGTTTGTTTGTTTTGTTTTTCTCTATCTACAGATAAATAGGAAACCCTGCCATGTTGAAAGGAATACAACCCAACATGGAGTAGAAACAAGAAATCAAGATATACACTCTAGGACAAGGAGCAATAAGAATTTGACTTAAAATGGTTATTTAGCATGTATTAGAGTTGCAACTGGATTTTATGTAGTTATGAGGGAACCCTGAAAAAAGTACCATTGAACAGAAATGAGATTTGGTTTCAGAACTTCAGCCCAAATGCTATTAAATCTTTTGCATTTCTTGAACTATACCCCTTGTGTCTTTGTCATAATTTTCCAGAGGTCTTCTCAGTCAATATGGGTTCAGTTTACATAATCCTGTCAACTGAATAAAGTAAATATGTATTAGGCTTCTGAGTAAAGTGTAATCATAAGCATTGCATTGATATAAGATATATAAACTCAAGGATATAAAGAAACAATTTTTTTGTTCGTTTTGTTTTGGTTTTGTTTTAAGTCAAAGGAAAGGTGTGGTTCAGGAGTGATAAATTGCAGCCTGGTGATCAAGAAGATTTAAAATTTATCTCAACTTTACTAAAGTCTTCCTGACTATAGGCCCCTGACCAATCTTTTCTTGGAGCACTTACTTCAGAAAAATTGCAAATGTTAATTTTTTATTTGCTGATGATGTAATATCTGTCTCAAGTATCTGGGAATCATCAATTTGAAAAGTAATAGGAAAGAAAGAACCCTTGTCTCCTAGTTTCAGTGAAATGATAGGAGTTGTAGATAAATACCAACTAGCAACACAAATGGCCTAATAACATTGCACAACCTATTTGATAACATCATTGTCTTCCAGTACTTTTCCAGTAGCTTCCCCTGGTGCTTAAGAATTTACCCAACTTCTGTTTGAGTGGAGTGGAGTCATTCTTTCTCCTTCACAATAGTGTTGAATAAAGCCTCCCTTGACTCTTTAACTGGTCTGGTAATATTTTTCTTTAACACTGGGTAGAGATTGCTATAAAACCAACCATCTCCTCTTCCTTTGTCTCTCAGTCAATGAAAAGAAAATATAAATTGGTTAAATAAAACTGAAGAAGTAAAGAAAACACAGATTGCATTATAGCGTCTCACAAAATGATTTCTATGTGCTTTGTGATTAAACATAACTCAGCAGTCTCTTGTAGGTAGAAGATTATAGAGAAACTAAGTATCCATTTTAACTACATTTTTTCATTGTATATGCATATATATTTAAATAACCAACATAAACAACACCCTGCTGGTGAAGTGGAAAGAGTAAAAAATCTGATGTAGTTTACTAAAGGTTTAAGAGCTAGCATTTGTGCTTGATGGCTGCCTTTTAAATAGTGTTTAAATACATACTTGAAGAGATGCATACAGATGTGCACTGCATCTAATTATTTAGTAACAGTCTACCACTGAGAGAAATTTTCCAATGTTTATAACTTTCGTTCAAAACTCTGCAAAAACAATTTTGTTCTCTTACTTGAAAAGTTTATGTACTAAAAGGAAGATTAGCATCTAAGGAGATAAGGTAAAATAAGATATGCAATAAAAATCTCGTCAAAAGAAGGGATAATGCCAGAAGAAACAGCAAGTGAGAATAGGTCAGTTTCTAAGTAGAGGTTTTCATTGTTCTATATTGTTTTCTTCTGATTATAAAATATATTTAACCTATGTTTGTGAAAAATTTGAAATGCACAGAAAATTCTAAAGAAAAAGAAAAAATATTTAGACATTAATGTAACATACATGTATTGAAAAATTATGGTGTAACAAATCCTGTGTTTGACTCTGTGGACACTATAATAAATGATAATAGATGGACTCTGCCCCTAGGGACTTACATATAACAGTGGCAATAGCTGGATTAATATATATAGTGTCATATGATAATTGCACTTTGTTTTAGCTAGGCTTCCTTAGGGAGATGAATCTCAAATTATTTCTTATAAAATGGGTAGTGGCTGATCAGATAGAAGAACAATGTAAATAAATTTCCAAAAATTTAGTTGTACTGTATCTTTCTGTCTTTGAGTATAATACATAACTCTCATATAAATTTTCCACCAAGGTAATGCCAATGTACCTCAATATAATGCAAGATGAATGGCTAATCCCATCATTATGAACAATCAATTTTCCAGGAGGGAAATACTGTAATACAGCCACATCTTAGAGCCATGGAAGAAGGACATTCCTCCCATTACAGACTCCTCTTGTCATCTTGTCACGGCCTGAAGCGGAAAGGGTGGGAGCTATAAAGAAAAAGCTCTGTAAAAATCTAGGCCAGAGATTTAATTGGAAAGTTATAAGATACACCCCCTCTCCCACAATTTATCACCACACCAACATTGCATCATTGAACTAAAATAAAAGAGATGCATCACACAGACTCTTTTTCAACAAGAAGACTTAGGGAAGACTGGAAAGGAAGTAAGCGCAAGGACACTATAGGAATTTGAAATCTCTGACACCTACAGTTGTAGGAAACATTAAATCAACTCGTAGGCAAATTAACATAAAACTTTATACTATAGTTCTACATTACTCAGTTCCTACCACCCAATGCAACATGTCTGGCTCTTAATAAAAAGTAACAAGGCTAACCAAAAAGCAAAAACAAAAATAAAAACAGAGTTTAAAGAGTCAGAACAAGATTTAGATATGACACAGGTTTTAGAACTATTGGACAAGGAAATTAAAGTAGCTATTAATACATTAATAGCTTTACCGGAGAAATTAATACATTAATAGCTTTACCGGAGAAATTAATACATTAAGGGCTTTACTGGAGAAAGTAGATACCATGCGAAAATAGATGGATATTGTAGATAAAGAGATGCAAAGCTAAGGAAGGATGAGACACAAATGTTAGAAGTCAGAATCACTGTAGCAAAAATGATGAATACCTGTGATGGACCCATTAGTAGACTAGATACAGCTGAGTTGAAAATCAGCGTGCTTAAGGTATGTCAATAGAAACTTCTGACTAAAATGTAAGTAGAACAAATGATGAAAAAGAAACCAGAACATTCAAACATTGTGTCACAATTTCAATAGATATAACATATGCCTAATTGGAATACTATTGGGAACAGAAAGAATGAAGTAGAAGAAATACTGAAAGGATAATACTTGAGAATTTTCAAAAGTTAGTGAGACACACCAAAACAAAAATACAGAATGCTAGAAAACACCGAGCAAACTAAATGCCACAAAAGCTATACTGAGTCATATTATATTAAAAATGCAGAAAAATAATATCTTAAGCTAGAAGGGGGAAAATGATTTATCTGTACAGTAACAAGAATAGAAAATTACAAAACACTTTTCAGCAGTAATCATGGAAGCAAAAAAAGTATAGTGAAATATTGAAAGTGTTGGAAGAAGACAGCAATAACATCTGAGAAGCATATATCCAGCAAAATTATACTATAAAAGTGAAGGGAAAATTAAAACCTCCTCAGGCAAACAAAGCAGGAGGTAATTCATCACCAAAAGACCTACCTTGCAAGAATTATTAAAATACTTTCTTCAGGTAGTACAAAAATGACATTTTTCAGAAACTTAACGGTACATATAGAAAGGAAGATTTTGTTATAAGATACTTGCACTGCACATAAGGTATTATAGTGCTATTTGAAGATAGACTTAGATTACCTGTAAATATAAACTGAAAACTCTGGTACAAACAATACATTTTAAAAAAATAATTTGGCTGATATAACAGGGAAGAAGACAAAATTAAAGGAAGAAAAATTAGAAACAAATAACAAATGGAACATATATAAAACAATTACATACCATGGTAGATATTATCCCAAATGAATTAATAATTGCATCAATAATTACTTTAATTTCAAATTGTCTAAATATCCCAATTAAAAGACAGAGGTTTTCAGAGTGGTTTAAACAAAGTAACCAACTATGTGTTTTCTACAAGAAATCCACTTTAAATATAAAGACTCTGATAGGTTAAAAGTACAGAGATGAAATACCTACTATGCAAACACTAATCAAGAGAAAGGTAGAGTAGATATATTACTCAAATTAAGCAGATTTCAGGAAAAAAAATGAAAATTATAAAAAAGAGAGGTGTTACCCGATAATAAAGAAGTCAGTTCTTCAAGAAATCCTAACAATCCTAAATATTTAAAAATCTAATAGTGGAAAATCAAAATACAAGGAAGCAAAGCCTAGTAAAACTATTAGAAGAAATACATAAATCCATTATTTTAGGTGCACTCTTCAACATCCTCCTATCAGTAACTGTTAGATTAAACATATGGAAACAATTGAGATTTAAAATTTTTGAAAGTAACCTTTCTAATACACTCCCCAAATTAAATGCTTAGGTATAAATCTAACAAAATGTAAGCAGGATCTACATGCAAAAAATCTACAGAATTCTGAAAAAAAGTCAAATAAAATCTAAATAAATTGAAAGATATTCCATATTCACAGAATGAAAGACTTAATTGTGAAGATGTCAATTTTTTTAAATTGATGTATACACTTGATAAGGTTTGGCTTTGTCCCCACCCAAAATCTCATCTTGAATTGTAATGCCCATAACCCCCACATGTCTAGGGTAGGACCAAGGTTGGAGGTAACTGGGTCATGGAGGCAGTTTCCCCCATGCTGTTCTCATGTTAATGAATGAGTCTCTTGAGACTTGATGGTCTTATAAGATTCTGGCATTTCGCCTGCTTGCACTCATTCTGTCATGCCATCCTGTGAGGAAGGTGCCTGCTTCTCCTCTGCCTTCTGCCATGATTGTAAGTTTCCTGAAGCCTCCTCAGCAATACAGAACTGTGAGTCAATTAAACCTCTTTCCTTTATAAAATATCCAGTCTCAGGTATTTCCTCATAGCAGAGTGAGAATGGACTAATATAACATTCAATGCAATCCCTCTCAACATCCAAGAAAGCTATTTTGTGAACATAGACAAACTGATTCTAAGTTTTATATGGAAAGTAAAAGGTACTAGAATAGCCAAGAAAATAGTGAAGAATAACAAAGTTGAAGGACTTATACTTTAAGATTTCCAGGCATAGTTTATGGCTACAGATTAAAAGACAGTGTAGTATTGAAAAAATAGACACATAAGTTAAGGCAACAGATTAGAAAGAGCAGAAATAGATCCATACAAATATAGTCATCAGATGTTTAACAAAAGAGCGAAATCAATTTGATGGAGAAAGGATAGTATTTTCAACAAATTGTGCCAGAAAATTAACAACCATATATTTGTTTAAAAGAGAGGCTTTACACTTCACAAAAATTAACTCGAAATGGACTACGGAACTAAATGTAAAATGAAAAACTGAAATATTCTTGAAGAAAACAGGAGAAAAACCTACATACCTTGGAATTGGTTGTAAGTTTCTTAATACAAACCAATAGAACAAGCTATGAAGAAAACAATAAGGAATTTATTAAAGTTAAACCTGTCTCTTATGTGAAAAGCATATTTAAAAGAAGATTTAAAAACAAGCCACAGGCTGAGAGAAAATGTTTGCAAAAACACATAGCTGATAAAGAACTTGTATGAAAACACACAAATAACTCTTAAAACTGGTTACTAAGAAAAGAAGGCCGTGCAATAGCTCACACCTGTAATCTCAGCCCTTTGGGAGGCCGACAGGAGACTCACTTGAGGACAGAAATTTGAGATCAGCCTGGGCAACATAGGGAGCCCCATCTCAAAAAAATAAAAAATAAAAAAAAATAAATTAGCCAATCATGATGGCATGCATCTGTAATCCCAGCACACTTTGGGAGGCCAAGGACAGGAGGATTGCTTGGGCCTAAGAGGAGTTTCAGGCTGCAGTGAGCTATGATCACACTATGACATTTCAACCTGTGCAACAGAGTGAGACCCAGTCTCCTAAAAACAAACAAAGGAAAAAAACACGAAATTTTAGAACAGGCTAAAGACTTGAACGGAAGGAATACCAGCATGTAAAATCAGCATGTAAAAAAATACTCAACATCATTTGTCCAGAGAAACTGCAAATTGAAACAAGGATCTATCAGTACATGGCTATTAGATGGTTAAAAAAAAATCGACAATAGGAATAGCTCGTGAATATTCAGAGCAACAGGAACTCTTATTCATTGCAGGTGAGAATGCAAATTGATTCAGACACTTTTAGAAGACTGATAATTTCTAACAAAACTAAACACATTCTTACCCTGTGAAATAAGAATTGCACACTAGGTAGATGTAGAACTGACTAAAATCTTATGTTAACAGAAACAAAGAAAAAAACAACATGTGATTGTTTATGGCAGATAATTACCAAAACTTAGAAGCAAACAAGACTCCATTTAATTAGGTAAATGGACAAACCATGGTCCATACATACAATGGAAATAATATTCAGAAATAAAAATAATGGGTATAGGAAGAAAAACCCCCAAACAAATATATAATACTATGAAATATAACAAAAGTCAGAGAATAGTGTATTAACCAGCAAACTCAATAAATGATAATAATGTAATCAGGCCAGGCGCAGTGGCTCATGCCTGTAATCCTAGCACTCTGGGAGGCCGAGGCCAGTGAATCACTTGAGGTCAGGAGTTCAAGACCAGCCTGGCCAACATAACAAAACCCTGTCTCTACTAAAAATACAAATAGTAGCTGGGTGTGATGGCACGTGCCTGTAATCCCAGCTACTCGGGAGGCTGAGCCAGGAGAATCGCTTGAACCTGGGAGGTGGAGGTTGCAGTGAGCCAAGGCCACAACACAGAGTGAGAGTATGTCTCAAGAAAAGAAAATAATGTAATCAACTAAGATTTGGAAGGAAAATTATTTAATGCATTTACTGCAAAAAATTACTGCAATTGTACTTTTAGTAAAGTATAGTAGAGAAACAGACACCAGATTCCTGAAGTTCGATAGAAAACAAAGAAAGTACCAACTGTAGTAGATGCTCTAATGTACCAATCAGATCCACAATCACAAGAGAAAGGGGAGTTACTCTCCCACCTCTTGGTAGTGTTGACGAAAAAGCCTTCAGACAGACCCTGAAGGCTTTCAGATATTAAACTTCTTTGAGGATTTCCTCCACAGAAGAAAACTACCTTGCCCAAGTTCTCCATACAATCTATATCTAGTGACTGATCAATGTGAGGTATAATGCCAGATAGTTGCTCAAACTGTGTCGACTCTGTAACTGTATCCCAGCTGCAGTGATTTCCATGAAGTTGGCTGAGAGCTTCATCATAGTTTACTCTCTCTTTCCGCCATATTCTACTATCATCCTCTGTCTTTCACAGATGTTAATCTCAAGAGCACTCCCTCATAGACATTAAACTCTAACTTTTGTTTCTTAGACTGCTTTCCAGGGAACTCAACCTGTGAAAGTTATTGTCAGCAGTGATATGTAAGATGGGCTTTTGAAGCAGATCACCTGATGTAGTTGTAAATGAAGACCTCTTCATTGGTGGTAGATGAGGCACAAATAATCCTCAGTAAAATGTAGCAGTGAAATTGCTAAATGAACTGTTTTCTCTTGTATACAAAGGGAAACGCATTTGCTCATTTGATGTTTCAGGTACTTGAAAACTATGGAGGAAATAATTACTACATAGATAGTAGAATTGACTCATGCTGAACTTACTTGATGCTCTGGTAAAGGAATCAAAAACTGGGAGCTATTAACTCAATTAAAAGCTATATATAAAAATCAGAGGATTATCTTGGTAGCATGAAAAGAGGCTCTCATCTCCTGCAGTAGGAGGACATGTTTCAGCAGATTCACAAAAGGTTAAACTCTCAAGGGAGGGAGATAAGTAATAGCCAGGTCAGGGTCTTAGTTGAGAAAAAAATAAAAACATAGCTCTAGATATTTTAATTAAGGCACCCCCAAATCTTTTAAGTCCCACAATTCCCTGGATCCTGGGAGTCCTTTAAATTTCTCAACTATTTGATAGCGGAATTAATGCTCTCGACTTGATTCAAGACTATACAGAGATTTCTCCCCTAACTGACTACACGTACTCCACGTCCTATCCTACTAGGACAGTATGAAAAGTCACAAAATACCAAGCTAGGGACTTTCTAAGCTTACTAACAAGGAGATAACCTTTTCCCAGTGGAGCTATAAGACATAGACATGTACAAGCAGATGCTAAAGGAGTAGTGACAGATCAAGAGAAGTTGGGACATCCACTTGAGTAAGAGTATTTTTCAATATGGAAGCCCTCTTTCTGGATACAGAATTTAATGCCTTGACCAGTTTCCAAAATAATGGTTCCAACATGCTGCTAGAAAGGCACCTAGAAACATGAGATGCAATGCCCCTACACCAATGAGATAGAATTGACATAGCAAATGGTGGAAGAAGGTATTAAAAGCAAAGAAGTGATCATGTCTGAGCAGACACATTAAGCTGAAAACTCACCATATGGTTTATGTCATGAAAAGTCTTGAATGTTGTATCATCATACCATTTCTAACGTGATAAGAAATGTCCTGGTGAGGATAAAGCAGCATCACTAAGAAGTTTAGTAGTGGTTCTCCTTGGTAGTCCAGGGATGACCGTAAGATAATTTGTCTGAGAACTGAGCTTAGCAATGGGAATCATGCTACCAAAACAACCCCAAATCAAACCAAAACAAAACAAAAAAAACAAAAAGCCCAAAAACAACAACAAATAACAAACAAACAAAAAAAAAAAACAGAGTCCAGGTGATGATGCTCAACTATTAGACATCAAGTATACAGAATTATTGTAATAAGAAGTAAAGTCCAAGGGGCGCCAAGGAGAGTGGGCATTTAGAAAGCTAAACACATAAAAATCCCTAGACTCAGAAGAGTATTGCTCAATCTGCACAATAAGGAATTACTAAGGATGGGTAGGCAACAAGCTGAGGGCAATGTTCCTAATAGAGACTCATAAGCCATTATCCTGTTTGTAGACTTGATCCAATTTTATAACTGGACCACATTGAATGAGAGGCCAGGTCTTTAGGAGTAAGGATCCTAAAATACTGTGGCAGTGTACATAATATTGATTCTCTAATAATTCCCTAAAACAACTTCCCACTAATGATTTGGGTAACTGACCATTTGGAAAAATGATTATTCAAGTATTGTAAAACTTTTTGGACACAGTGTTCTATTTGATATTTATACCTGGAGATCAGAAGATTACTATGGGCCCTGTTAGAGTGGAGGTATATGGAAGTCAGGTAATAAACGGAGTCCAGGCCAAGGTTCAAGTCACAGTGGGTCCACTGAATGTGTAGGTTCACCTACTAGTCATTTTCCCAATCCCCAAATGTATTATTGAAATAGACATATTTGGCAGTTACAGTGGGTCATAGACATTCTTAGTGAGTGGGAATCTCTAAAATTCTCTCTCCCAACTACTGGCCAAATAATATCATACTCCAAGCAGAATGGTAAAAAATTAGCACCACCCATAAAGACCTAAAGAATGCTGGCAAAATGATCCACTTTATTTTATATTTTTTACTTTATCAGTTTGCCCTACAAAAATCACACAGATCCTGAAGGCCTGTTTGTGTTTGCAAGGACACAGAGGATGATGACTGCAAACCCAACCAAGAAGTAGCATTGATTACTGCCTCTGTGCTAAATATGGTATCCTTGCTACAACCGATTAATACCTTCTCAAGTACATGGTATGTGGCTACTGATATGATGAATGCATTTTTCTATGCTGTTAGAAGAGGATCAGCAATCCTTCACCTTCCCTTGAAATGAAGGACTGTGTGTATTCCAAAATTTTTCTTTAGGCTATTTTAACCTTCTTTCCTTCTTTTGTAATAGAATCTTATCATATCTGGATACTTGAAACATCCCACAGAACATCAAGTGGTCTGCTATATTAAAGACATAATGCAGAGCAAAAAAGACTAGCACACTAGAAGTCTTGGTAAGACACAAGTATTGCAGATATTTGGCTATAAACCTTATAAAATGCTATGGTTTGAATGTGTCCCCAAAGTTCATATGTTGGAAACTTGACCCCCAATGTGGTAGTGTTGGGAGGTATAGCCTAATGGAAGGTGGTTGAGTCACGAGGGCACTGGCTTCTTGAGTGGATTAATACCACCATTGTAAGAGAGGGTTTGTTATCACTGGAGGGGGTTTCTCATAGAATAACATATTCAGTCCCCTCTTCCTTTCTCTCCTAGCTTAAGTGTACCATTCTGCCCTTCATCATGGGATAATGCAGCAAGAAAACGCTGGCCAGATTTTTGACCCCTATTCTTGTACTTCCCAGCCTTCAAAATTTAATCGAAAAAATTTCTGTTTATTTTAAATTACCCAGTCTGTGGTATTCTGATCTAGTAGCACAAAATTGACTAATACATAAATATTTAAAGACCTCGCATAATAGAAATTTTTTTTTAAGAAATTCAGTAGTCTGAGGCATACACAGACATCCCTTCCATAGTAAAGAACAAATAATTGCATTTTGCACCTCCCACACAATTCCAGACACAATACTGTCTGGAAGGGTTATTTTGGTTATGGAAGTAGTATATTTCACACCTGGGAAAACCAGGTCAAAAAACATACCAATCCATATGTAAAAAAAAAAAAAATCTACTAGCTTTAGTAGGGTGCAGTGTAGAAGTCCTTGGTTATGTCTGACCTGCCAAGTTTTAAGGTCAGATAGACCTAGCACAACCACTTATAAAATGGAAGCACCATATCCATGATCAGAGGGCACAGGCAAGCTACACAGTGGGCAGTTCAAAACCCTGTGTCATACACCATTGTTGCATCAGTATCTCTTCCTCACACCTGCATGGGAAATTCTTTATGACTCTGAAGGAAGAGAAAAAAGACCAAATTTGGTTGATTAATAAGTCAGATTAGTATGTAGGTACAGGCCAAATATGGACAGCTATTAAACTAGAGTTTTACTCAGGGAAGTCTTGAAAGACAGTTAAAAAAAATCATCCAATGGGCAGAGCTTTGTCTTGCGCACCTGTTTATCCAGTGTGTGACAAAGGAAGTGATTCGAGGTTAAAGTATACATGGATTCATTAGAAAATCAGGGTCATGAAAATATGAGGTACAGGCAGGTGGTTGGACATATGGGAGTGAGTATACATGAGGACATTTGTATTGCACGGTAACATGCAATGTATATCTTAAACTTTTAAAAAAAAATATATGGTACACTGTCTCTAGTAGGTACACTATTTTGCTCCTGTAAACAGGGGCTGAAAGCAGAAGTGGTTCCACTTACCATCACTGCCAATAAATCAATTGGAGAATTTATGCTTCCCATTTAGGCTCCATGAGTTCAGAAGTTCTGGTTCTCAAAGAGAGAACATGTCCACCAAAAGCACTGCAAGAATCCCATTGAATTACAAGTCATAGCTGCCACTTGAGATTTTGGGATTTTCATGACAGAAAATCAGCAGGGAAGAAGAGTCAACATCTTGGTATCAGTAATTAAGGTGATAGAGAGGCAACTGAAAACATGGATGACGTTACACAGTGGAAGCAGAAAAAATAGGTTTGGTATATAGACAATTCACTTGTGTACTTCTTGGTGCTCTCTTGCCCATTTGACAGTAAGTGAACAAGTGTGGACACCCTGTTTGAGAAGGGTACTGTGACAAAGGGTACAGATAATTTAAGGATGAGAATTTGAATCACACTACGAAGAAGACCATTAAGACCAGTAGGGGTGCTACCTGAGGATGAGGCAAATGTAGAATGGATAGTAGTTAAGAAAGTGGATGAATATAATTTGAAGTCTTGTGACCAGTAACAGTAGCTGGGACTGTAGTTCATCCTGCTCATCTTCCTTTTCTGATTCTTTCAGGAAGAGAAGCACTCTGGAATCCTAGAAGAACTACTTAAACTTCTGCAGAAGGAAGTGGATCTTAGCAACATAAGAATCAACTATGGTAGTACCTGTGATGCCCCCTCCTGAAAAAAGCCAGCACTAATTTGAAGTGACGAAGCTCATAGGGCACAGAATTTAAGGAGATACACCCTCTCAAGGTCATATGAATGAGCATTTCCTTGAATTTTTTCCTTAGGCACTTCAGTCGATTCACCCTAGTCCCTGCTTGTTCCAGAATTGTCTTTCAAAATGGAAGATTTATCCCTTAGCTACTGGGAGTGTTGTTAGAAGAAAATCTTTATCTAAGCAATCCTTAGGATGGGCTTTGGTTGAAAAAGTGGCCATCCAAAAGTCATAACCGCTACCATTGGCAGCCCATAACCCAAAACTACTGATCAACTAAAAAATGTAAATGCCTGGCTTCCTCTCCCCAAATCAGGACAATTCTGTTGGGCCATCTCAACATCAAAGCTTACTGTGAGGTGGCTGAAAGCTTCACTGGGACTGCATCACAGCTCAACATTTTCTTCATCTTAATACTGCTTCCTTACCCTCTGCACATGTGTTCATCACAAGAGAAATTTCTAATTACTTTCCTTTTCACTAACCTGTATTTCAGAGTCTACTTCTTGGAGGAAATCTTGTGAAACCAAAAATAAATAACAAATACATTATGTTGTTCTGTTAATAATTTTCAGGAGTTTAAGGCGAAAAATATTATCACTCATCAAAACATCCTATGTACTAGATCCACTCAATCTTATTCATTGTAATTTTTCTTAAGTTTTGACTTGAATATTCTCATGTAATTTTTCCCTCACACTCTCCCCACCTCCCTTCCTCTCCTCTCTCCTCTCCTCCTCTCTCTCCCCCAGTTTCTCTTTTCCTCCCCCTTTCTTTTTTTTTTCTTTTTCTAAAGGTGGCTACATGGCTATATAGGCAGTTCTCAGATCAAAACAGTTACATTATACGTCTAACTACAATTCCATTACAGGTACAATCTACATTACTCGAGTGCCTGGACATACTCAGCCTTAATATTAAATATAAGAGCTATTTAATTTGCTAAAACTTGTAAGTCTCTAAGGACATATGAACTTATTCATGAAAATCCTCCTTATGAGGAGAATTCATCTTTTTCAGTCATATGTATGTAACAGTGATCTCTTGACCTATTTCTTATGTCATTTTTATGCCCCATTTTTTCAAGGTTCTATGTACAGACAACACAAATATTAGCTAAAGTTGAATAGCTAGATGTAACTAAATTGACACCCTCCCTAGAATAAAACTAGTTAGAAAAAGATTTGCTCTCTAGACTGAATAATTAAGAAAATGCTCTACTTCTTTTAGGCTAAGCTAGCTTAGAGATATGGCCATGGCTGGGAGCAGGTTTCTTGCTAGATTTCATGTACTGTGGCTAGAATGATTTGTTCAAATGCATACAGCACAGCATCAGAGTGTATCTGATTCCTATTATCCCTTCTAAAAATTCTGCTTATAGACAGCCATAGAAGTTTATTGGATTATATCTGGGTGATAAAATATGGTTAGATGCATTCAAACAAAGCCTTCATTAATATTCTAGCAAGTCGCACCTGTGACTTTATGTGTGTCCAATTATGGAGACCTTTATAAAAATATATATTTATAGTGTGGTTGGAAGTCAGCTTTTCCAAAAATCAATAATTTTTGTTCAAAATTTTTTTTTTGCCTATCACATTGTTTTGGAAATCAGATTTTTAAAAGACTGGGCTGTGAGGCTTAGTGTGATGTAGTTATTATTTAAACCATTCAGAAAAAAAAAAAACAAAAAAACTAATGTTGCTTCATGATTTTATTTCCCGTAGAAATCCCCCAGGAAAGATTGCAAAAAAGAACATGGATTCTAGTGAAAATATAAGCTCTTAGCTTTGTTAATCAACCAGAAAAAAATGAAAATGTTTCTGTTATAAAGCACAAAAACAGATTTTCTGTCTATAAAAAATTTGCAGTCTAGACTCTGAAATTTTTAACTTGAAAGTTGTAACCATTATTTGAATTTTCTCCTGCTTTGCAATTAGTCATAGATAGACTTACAGAATTGGAGGAGCTGAAGTTTGGCTTAGTTGACCATATGAAAAATTGGATATTCGCCAGTTGACACTCTGATTTATCCTGACATTTGAAATGTTTATCCAAACCAAAATTATTTTTTAGCAGGTGCAGATATCCTTATTTACCAGATAAATGAGCTCTTCCTTTTCCCTTGTCTTTTATTATCCTTTAGCAAATATCTTTTAGGTTCTACCCATCTCTCTAATCAGTAGCTTGACAAGAGAAGAAAATCAGTAGATCTATGTATCATATGACAACACTTAAGGGCTCTGCCTGTGTTCATTACAGGGTGATTCCTGTTTATATTTCCAGCTGAGTTTGTGAAAGTCTGGCATGAGCAAAACTTTTACTGAGAGGTCTTACATCACAAGGAAATTGGCTTTCGCTTTATTCGGGATATATTTTTAAGAGAATCGCACTAATATTCTAAGCTTTGCGAAGGTTGAGACAGTGTTTAATTTGGTTGTTGTTTACTTTTATCTCCTCAGTGCCTTGCACAGTGACATCCAGCAGACGCTCAGTAAATACATGACACTCAATGAATATATGCCTTCTTTTTATTTATCTTCAAAAGTTGAGTACTGCTTTAGAATTAGATTCATATTCCACTCTATTTTTTTCAGTCCCTCTATACATCATGTAGTTTTTGAGGTGTGGTCATATATATTTACTCTTTAAGTCTCCCTGAAATGCTTCAAAAGAAAGATATTCTTGAGTTTGAGATTAGACATAAGAACCACAGCAACAGTACGTTATGGCCTCAAGTGATCATAGTCAGGATACAAACTCAGGTTTTTATTAAATTAGTGCTCTGTGATCTTTCCATCAAACTGTAATGGTTTCTCTTTTTAATGTGCGAATTTTGTTTTTTTAACATTTTTTAATTTTAATTTTTTGTAGTTACATAGTAGGTATATATATATTTATGGAGTACATGAGATGTTTTGATATAGGCATGTAATGCCTAATAATCTCATCACGGAGAATGGGTTATCTGCCTTCTCAAGCATTTATCCTTTGTGTTAGAAATAATCCCATTATATTATTTTAGTTATCTTAAAATGTATAATTAAATTATTATTGACCGTAGTTATCCTATGTACTACCAATACTGTCTCATTTATTTAAACTATTTTTCTTTTACCCATTAATCATCCCCACCTCCTCCTCACTCCCACTGCCACTCCCAGTACCCTTCCCAGCCTCTGACAACCCTCCTTCTATTCTTTATCTCCATTAGTTCAATTGTTTTGATTTTTAGATCCCACAAAATAAGTGAGAACATGTGATGTTTGTCTTTCTCTGCCTGGCTTATTTCATTTCACATAATGACTTCCAGTTCCATCCATGTTGTTGCAAATGAGGATCTCATTCTTTTTTGTGGCTGAATATGTAATGGTTTCTGAAAGGAATATAGAGAGTCTAAAAGAGATATGAATCCACTATTTTATTTAACATTAAGGAAGTTATAGAATGGCAATATTAAGGTAACAAAAGAGAAAACTTTGACGGAGTTAGGTTTTAAAAATAGGGAGAGGGAAATACAGATAGGACTAAAGGACTCAAAGTTAAAAGGTGTAAGAAATGAAGATCTTGGAATGACAATCTACCAGTAGGTGGAAAAGTTCAGAAAATATAGAATTGAAAGGTGGAAGCAAAATGCTAAAATGAATATTTGGCAAAATAATAGTTTAGAAAGAATTTGATTAAAATGCCTTGGAAATAACCTATGGTAGAAATAAATAGTTGTAATTTTCTCTTCTGTCTCACTCTGAGCAGCAAATGCTTTCAAGTTCTTCATTATGTCCACGGGTGATTCAGATGCCTATATAACCTCATGGTGGTTGTATTAGTCAGGGTTCTCTAGAGGGACAGAACTAATAGGATATATAGATATCCTATTAGAAAATCAGGAAACCTATGTATCATATGACAACACTTAAGGGCTTACGTAGATATAAGATATATCTATATTTATCTATCTATCTATTTATCTATCTATCTATCTATCTATCTATATAGAGATATCTCTAAAGAGGAGTTTATTAAGTATTAACTCACATGATCACAAGATCCCATAATAGGACCTCTGCAAGCTGCGTATCAAGGAGAGCCAGTTTGAGTCTCAAAACTGAAGAACTTGGAGTCCTATATCCAAGGGCAGGAAGCATCCAGCAGGGGAGAAAGATGTAGGCTGGGAGACTAGGCCGGTCTACTCTTTTCACATTTTTCTGCCTGCTTCATATTCTAGCTGTCATGGCAGCTGATTAGATGGTGCCCACCCAGATTAAGGGTGGGTCTGCCTTTCCCAGCCCACTGACTCAAATGTTAATCTCTTTTGGCAACACCCTCACAGACACACCCAGGATCAATACTTTACATCCTTCAATCCAATCAAGATGACACTCAGTATTAACCCTCACAATGTTATTGACAAGAGTCTTTAATGTGTGTTCTGGTTTTGGGGTTCTAAACTTCTGCCTGACTAAAAATTAATCTCTGCTTATGAGTGCTATAATTTCTCCCATGTCAACTGGTCTCTTACTAACTTTCTTTTCTACAGCATGTATAGTTTCACCAGACTTACTGAACTCTTGGGTATTTTGATCATCTAACACTTCCCTTTTTTAGGGATCCCCATTCTCCTCTCATATAAGGCTACCACAGAACGTATTTTCTAGGGCCCTCCATCTTTTGATTCCCTAACTTGAGTTACACAGGCCAACATGGTCTCCATGTTACTATTTCACCCTATGTGTTAGACAACATGCCATGTAAGTACACTTTTACCCCTAATTTACTTTGGCAACTTTCAGATCTCAAATTCTGACTTTGCCATTGTCTAAGAGTTTAAATAAAACATAGGATAATCTGACTGACTTAAACCATATGATATTCCCACTTACCTAACTTTCTAAACAAAATAAAATAAGCACTCTGAGTATTTCTACCTCCAGCAGGGCCTCAGCTTTGTTGCAATGTGGTCATTTGGCTGAATGCTACACCTCCAATGTAGGAGAATGTCACAGCATTCAGTGGCTACATAAGGCACCGATGCATGATGGAGATACTAATATTGGAGTCACGGGAAGTATGAGGACTCAGTAATAAATAACATTATGAGTATAAGAGATAGCATCAAATATCCAGTAACTCTACTTTTATCGTGGCCATTGAGGATACCATGTAGAATCTTGCTATAAATGTCTTTCCATTTTAGAATCTGATTCTACTTCAAACAATTTTTTTAAAATTTCTACTTCTAGGATTTGGCTGACAAACCACCTTGTTGGTTTCACAGATTTAGGTTCTCCCATAGATAGAAGAACCTCCATATTGTTGCAATTTGGCTGGGGAGTCCCATTTTACAACTCTTGTCCTATTGTCACAGCAAGTTTAGAATGTATTTCAGATTTTTTTCATTTGAAATTAATAGACATTAATAACAAAGTACTTTTAATTAATAGTAAATCTGAGTTTTATAAACATCCATTTTGTCCTTTCAGCTTCTGCCTAGCGGTCTTGTCTACTAATGGGAGATACAAGTACACTGAACAAAGTTTTCAATTTTACAAATGTCAAACCTGAAAGTATAAATTGCCCATTTTCCTTTTTCTCACCCTTTCTAGACACTACATTACTAACACCTCTCTTCCAAGAATAACATGAAAGAGTATCACTCAAAATGGTTTGTGCTCAGATGTAAGCAGCTCAGCACTGCTAAGTCCTTCTATTGTCTAAGCTGGTGGGAAAAGCAATTTATGCTGTGGCTTCTGCAGGAAATATGTTGTACCAACCAGTGAGCACATGTCCCATGTCTTGGCCTTTAAAGTGTGTGCAGCCACCATGCCAACATTCAGCAGTCAGTGGGAAAAATCAGGAATTATAGGTTAGGTGTGTATGAAATATGTTGATAAATAGGATTTCAGTAGTTCTGTCTTAGAACCTATAGAAAATATTCTGGATGCTGTTGCTACAGAGATTTTGACTTTTACAAAATGCTGTAAGACTATTTATTTATTTTTAGCGATTGTAATGCTATTTTTAAATGTTATAACTTTTTAGGTAGTAATAAATTTAAAATACAAAAGGGCATATTTAATGAAAAAATCACAAATTAACTTTGTCTCTTAAAACATATTAAAAATAAATGAATAACTGTCTTTAAATGTATGCTGACATTTATTATCCACCATTGGCACCAGAGTGACACCATTAATCACATAAAGCTCATAAAACACTCAATTTCACAATTTGTCTATGTAATAAACTTACTTATGTAACCCTGAACCTAAAATAAGTATATATATATATATAGCCAGGTATGACTATATGACTATGTTTAAAAAAAAGAAACAAAAAGACCATAAGAAACAAAAATGCTGAAGCAATATTAGCATCTGATTCATATGTTAGAAATTATTTTAAAACAATTGCATTCAAAGATATGATTTAACATATCCAGCTACAGAAGTTGCATATAGGAAAAGTACGACTTTTCATGTAAATTAAAAATGACCATGGTTCTAAATGACTTCTGCACATTTTTTATTAAAAGTTTTAAATACATTTTTATAATATGAAATGATGGCTTTTAAGGTATTAGCTACAGAAACAGAAGAATACTTTTTCAAATAGTTAAATAATGTCAAAATTGTATAAGTATTATCAGGTAACTAAATAGAAAATTAGTAATTTCTAAGATAAGCTTGACTTTTATGTTTTAAGAGTTACTACAGTTGACATAAACTGCAGATATTATTGTGACTGCACTATTGCAAAAAAAGTTAAATTCAATACTGAAGATAAAATTGTCTTTATAGTGATTATATAAATACACATTTTATTAAAGCATATTGTTATGATAAAAGCAATAATCCTACTAAATTAAGAAGGTTTCAGAGCAGAAAGATACTTAAAATTGATTACAGTAAACATATACATGTATAATTATATTCACATAGGCTTAAATAATCTATCAATTAAAGTCCAAGTTTACAGATGTAAAACATTTAAAACATTATGTACATAAAGAAACTGAACTAAAGTATTTTGTGATATTTGATGTAAAATTTCATAAGTATATAAGTACATAATCAGTAAGACAGTATATCATTTATTGTTTTAGGAACATCTCTAAGATTATAGAAAAGTCTAGGCAGTTGAAAAACTACTTTGTATATTAACTTAAATGTCATTCAGCAGTATTGGATCTCATTAGATCTATCTAGGTTCCCTTTGTAACCCCACTATTTTTATCTACCGGGTACCTTATAAACTAATACTTAGATTTAATCATTGGTATCATTAGTCCTGGATTTCTCTACTTTTGAATCATGAGGATGTCAAAAGTAGTTAATTTAAAAGATGCTAACATTGCTGTCACCTAAGTTCAGTCTCTTGACTTTTAGCCAAGCCTCCTGGGTTCTCATGAGTCCTACACTACCATTAATGGCAAGAATTTAAGATTTTGCCATGAAAACCACAGAAAAAAATTATTGGTGGCCCCTTTTCTCAAAAGTCTTCCATATATTTATGTTGTAATTCTTATCCTCTACCCTCGGTGAAATAATCTTTAAGCATAGACCATTTCTCTTTAAACATTGTACTCCTCTCATTCAAAGGGAGCATTGATCATAATCACATGAACAAGTTTCCATGTCTGGACTAGTAAACTAGATTTCCTCAAGGTAGTTACCCAAGTTATTTTTATAAAAATATGTCCCCTCCCTGACCAGAGCACTACAAGATAAGTGCACTGCTCTGAACAATGCCAAGGAGCGGTAATTATACAGATGTGAGGGTGATCTTGCCAAAGCATCTGGTACCCAATGATCCATAATGCTCCGTGTGTGTTCGTCTGGAACCACTCTGCTTAGTCAATGAGGACTAGACAATAATATATAAATTGCAATAACATACAAATTGTTTTTCTTCTAGAACTCCTAAGATTGAAAAATACACATAGACACAAAAGAAACTCTGATAACACACCCCCATTAGAATCCCCATGCTCAGCTGCACAACAGTTGATATTCCCCTCATTCAGCGTATTATCTCAGTGTGTCAGACATGATGAGCTTTAAAGGGTAACTGCAACAAAGAGATTTCCTCTTTCTTTTTTTTATTTTATTTTATTTTTGCCAGAGTCTCGCTCTGATGCCCAGGCTGGAGTGCAGTGGCGCCATCTCTGCTCACCGCAACCTCTGCCTCCAGGGTTCAAGCAATTCTCCTGCCTCAGCCTCCGGAGTAGCTGGGATTACAGGCGCATGCTGCCATGCCCGGATAATTTTTTATATTTTAGTAGAGAGGGAGTTTCACCGTGTTGCCCAGGCTGGTCTAGAACTCCTGAGCTCAGGCAATCTGCCTGCCTAGTCCTCCCAAACTATTAGGATTACAGGTGTGAGTCACCGAGCTCAGACCAAGAAGTTTCCTCTTTCACTCATTCACTTAGTCAAGTAGTCAATAAGTTTTTATAGAGCACCTAAAAATGTTACTCACTTTACCAGAACTAAGAATATTATATTGAATAAGAAAAACTTGGTTTTTATCCTTCTTGTTTAGTGAATAGAGTAAATAAACTAATAAATTCCAATGAAGGAAAAGATCAGAGAGTCAGAGAATAAAAATATAAAGGTGTACATTTGTGTTGGGAAAATGAACTACTTAACACTGAGTGATGAGAAAAGGCTTCTCTGACAAGGTAATCTTAAATTTGGAAATGAAGGTTGAGATGAAGCCAGCCGTGCTTTAGCACGAGAAGAGTTTTTTAGCAAAGAGATTGATTTGTGTAAAGGTCCTGAGGTTGAAAAGAGTTTGCACTATATTAAAAACTGAAAAATGCTTGTTAGGCTGAGGCGTAGTAAACAAGGTGGATTTGTGGCATGAGATGAGGCCAGAGAGTTGAGCAGGAATCACATGAAGTAGAATCCTGTGAGCAATGGAAGAATAATGTGATGTATATTTTAAGCAGGGAATTGATACAAACCTGTTTACATTATTAAAAGATTCCTTATTACTGTGTAGAAAATAAACTGGGGGAGATGATGGACATGGCAAGAGAGGTACTTAATGGAATAAGCCCATCCAGCGATAAAAAATTAATCTCTGCTTAAAACCAAACTGAGAGTCCTTCTTTAGTACATTATTTACAGTCTTATTCCATTTAGAGATCTGAGTTATCTGTTATGTATTTATATAAGAGGTAAAATGATAAAATTGAAAATAAGTTACCATTCACACTTCTATTTATTTATGTAGAAATATTTTCACAATATAAATACTGCAGATACAAGCTGTGTTGTTTTTCCCATTGCAAACACTTTGTAATTCAAACACATCTGATTTATATTGATTTTAAATTTAGCACTGAGAGAAAACACTTACATGCTCTATAACATTGTTAAGCATCACAAATAAAATTAGAAGATGAATTATCATTGCTTTTCTAAGTTGTAAATTAGATGACTCACCATGTAGGAAAAATGACTCCATGATCATTGACTAGTTTATAATTTGAATTATAAGTTAGGCACCATGATGTGTTTTCTGTTACAAAATTCATGATCTGGCATTAGATCATGTATTCTTATCTTGCATTCAGTTAAGCAATAAAATACTGAATTTATTTATTGAATAAAACTTAAGATATAGCATCTGGCTTTCCCCCAAATTATGGTGGTTGTCAACTGTGCTGATGCTGTATCATCTATGAACCTCCTGTTTCATTTCATTACCTGATCATTTAAAGTCATGCAGGTCCAAAATTTCCCCATTGTTATATTTATACACTCTTTTCAACTGTATTTAAAAGTCCTCATTTATTCTAGAACATAAGATTGATAATAGACATGTGTCATTATGAAAGTTTGCTTGGCTGAAAAAAACAAAGTCCAAAAAAAGGACTGTGTTTAATTTAATCCCCCAGCCAGAGAGATTTAATTAAAAATAGTCATAGTTACCTAATCCTGTATCTCTAAGTTAAGTTGCCATGAGAATGTCTAGTGCTTAGATACTGTTAATTTTTTAAGAAAGTATTGTTTGCTTTAGAAAATTGTGGATCTCTCTTTGCTTTGGTTCCATAGATTAATGTTTTTCTTCATGGACAGGCAGCCGATATTTTTCTAGGGCACTAGATATGGTGCTGTTAGGAAATCTCCAAAAACTAGACCCAGCCCATGACTCAAAACATTTTTGCTGTTGGTAGAAATAACTTTTTTTCACATATAAAACAAATTATGTAATTTCATAGAGTGTTCACAGAGTTTATATATAGATCCCAGTGCTTGTTACCACTAATATGTATGAGTGCATATACCTTTTTGCAATAAAAGATAATACATAGAGATCGTGATAAATACTTTTAGTTTATTTCCATATGTCAGTAGGATATGTAGGAAATGAGGTGACTAACTGAAACCACATCAACTTTCCATGCATCAGACTTTGAGGCTTCAGACAATGGTTTTCTCTGCCTGAAATGCCTTCTCACCCAGTTTCACTTTCTTAGTCAATTGCTAATGATTTTTGAGATCTCAACTCAGATGTCTCTTGCTCAGGGGAGCCATTCATGCTTATTCAAACTAGGTCGATGCTTCTGTTTTAGATTCATATAACAACACTGTAGTTTTCTTTACAGTATGTTTTATGAAAGTTTTCAATGTGTGTAAATATTTGTTTATTGCTTTCTCCCTCTCTTGACCATAAGCTCCATGAAAGCAGTGGCCAGGATTCTTTTTACACACGTCTGAAACGCTAGCTCTTAGCATTATGCTCAACACATAATGAGCACTCAACAGTCGGGCTAAATGCTGAAGGACAGACACTTGTAGAGCCAGGAGTGAAAGAATACATTTAAAGAATATGTTTTATAAGGCATAATGGAGAGAAACATAGCCTGATTAAATCAGCTAATGGAGGTTCCATTATTTAAAATCTGAAATCAGAATAAATGTACGTTAAATATTCCGCGCTACAGGTATAAAGGCTATTTTTGAATTCCAACCTTGTAGGATAAAAATAGTATGAGGCCGGGTGCGGTGGCTCAAGCCTGTAATCCCAGCACTTTGGGAGGCCGAGGCAGGCGAATCACGAGGTCGGGAGATCGAGACCATCCTGGCTAACAAGGTGAAACCCCATCTCTACTAAAAATACAAAAAAATTAGCCGGGCGTGGTGGCAGGCCCCTGTAGTCCCAGCTATTCGGGAGGCTGAGGCAGGAGAATGGCGTGAACCCGGGAGGCGGAGCTTGCAGTAAGCCGAGATCGCGCCACTGCACTCCAGCCTGGGCGACAGAGTGAGACTCCACCTCAAAAAAAAAAAAAAACAAAAAACAAACAAAAAAAACAACAAAATAGTATGAGACACACAAAATTATATGTGTGTGTATATATATATATGTATATATATATATATGTATATATATATATGTATATATATATGTATATATATATATATATGAAAGATAATACATAGAGATCATGATAAATACTTTTAGTTTATTTCCATGTGTCAGTAGGATATATATCACTAATACAGGAAGAATTTTTAAAAAACAATAGTATACATGATCAGAACATTAACAGATCTTGATCTTAATCCTACCAGAATAAGACTTTATACAGGTTTTTTGTGAAAACAAAAAAGGAAAAGAGCTACTGGCATCCCAATGTAGAATGTAAGGTCTTTGGTCAGAATATTACATTAAACATACATTTCAGCACCAAATTAAGATATTTATCTTTTCTCTTTTGTATGCAAAAGTCTCTACTTTAAAAACCTCTACAATTTGTTTTCTAAATAGATACTTAACTAATACGGAAATTTGTCACCAACATCCTTGGACCTAGAGTGAGTAATAGTACCTACTGTCATTAGTATCAGCAAAAATCCAGATTTCATTCATAAGAGACCTTCAATCACAGAAGCTCTTGGTTGTGCTGAAGGTCATCTTTCATATGCAATGTACACTGCAAGGTAGCAGGGGCCATGATGGTGACAGGAAGGCCTATCTATCCTCCATAGTGAGGTTTGTGGATAATAGTGGCATGGCTTTTGAAAAGCTGGACTCTAAGGACCTGGAAGTGTACTGGATAGGCATGAAGTTCTGTGTGTGTTCCAGTTGTCAAATGGGAGTGAGTAGTGAGGCAATGGGAGAGGAGATCCAAATGAGTGTATCAACAAGACAGGAAGCAATAATAATGCCGTGTTAGCTTAGCCTTGAGTTCATACTGTGTGGTCAAATGCATTTCTCACCAATTTAGTTATTTGAGGAAAGAAAAGTATGGTAGGCTGTATAAAGGTCCTCCAAAAATGTCCATGTCCTAATGTTTCTTAATCTTTGGTATCTGTGAACATGTTACCTTACATGGCAAAAGGTACTTTGTAGATGTAAGTAAATTAAGGACCAGGAGATAGATAGGATGATTACTTTTGGTTTGCACAATCTAAGGCTCCTTACAAGAAAGAAGTAAGAAGGTCATAATTAGAGTCAGAGATAGAGAAGTACATACAAAAACAGGGGTGTGTGTGAGACAGAGACAGAGAGAGAAAAAAACAAGAAAGAAAATAGGATTTGAAGATGCTCCACTGCAGGCTTTGAAGATAGAAAATTTAAAGATAGAAAAAAGAGCCAAAAACTAAGGAACTGGGGTGGCTACTATAAGCTGGAAAAGACAAGGAACAAAATTCTCATCTAGAGCCTCTAGGAGAAATGCAACCATGCTAACCTATTTTGGATTTCTGACCCCCGGAACTATAAAATTTTTAAAAAGTATGTACTTATTTAGCCACTAAGTTTGTCATGATTTATTAAAGCAGCTGTAAGGGACCTAATACAGAAAGAAAGAGTTTCTGTGAGATTTATATGGAATACGACAGAAAAAGGAACAGTGAGCCCAAAGTTGTTATGTCTTCAGGACCTGATTACCATGCCATGAATCTTTCTAGCTAACAGACTGCAGGCAGCAGAAACTGGCAGAGTCTTTTCTCAGCGTAGAATAAAGAGACAAAGAGAGATGCATAGCCATGTTTTAGAAAGCCAGATAATTATGAATACGAAAGAAATGAATATGAGATTAAAGTTGTTTGATACGGATGTAGTTTTGAAAACTAATATTTGATGTGTGCTGTGTTTCTTTGAAACTTCAGAGTTTGCTGCCTTAGGTTCCACAGAAATCTTTGAGAAAGAAGCATGACTAGAATTCCAGCCTTAATAAGTAAACAAACTGAAGCCCAGAAAGAGTAAGACATTTGTGCAAAAGCGCAAAATGGCTTTCTTCTGACTCAAAATAAAATGATATTTCTAACAGAGAATAATTATCTCTGAAAGGATTTTAAACTATGATTTACAATGTAATAGGTATGTAGCCAATATGTAAGCATTAAAGGGGTATGAAATAAGTGAATTGTCATAATGAGGATTAGTTGGAATGAGTATTTGGTGGGGGATGAGTTTTGAATTACTAGCAAGTATAGTACAAAGATAATGACAGTTGGTTCTGCTTGGAGTACCATCATTAAGTTTGCAGTGAAATATTCAGCATTACATTCTTTTTGTTTGAGTTTTCCCAGATTTAACTGTGAAAATTATCCCAGCCTATGAATTTTTCTTTAAGTTACACCTCTGCCAGCACCCTACCCATTCCCGGTAGTCCCCTGGAACACCAATGAATGTCTGAGTCAGTCTGGATGTCTCCCAGCCCAGCTTCCCAGAGTCTGACATGCCAAAGGGCACAAGATATCATGTTTTCAGGTGACTGTCACTCTCAGGATGTGATAAAGGCAAAACCAGGACCCTCTGAACGGGCATCAGGACCTGAGGGCCTGTGTTGTTTTGTCAACATATGAGCAGGAGAAAGAGACCAAAGGAGTTTCTTGGCACGACTTGAATCATATTCATTCCAGAGATGCAAAAGAGAGCCATAGTGTATCAATTTCATTGATACATCTGGAAATTGAAAGGCTCTATTTATTTACTTAATCGCTGCACATTTCTTGGCCAGGCCTGATGTGACATGACTTTACAGTAATAATAAACAAAACAGACAAGGTCCTTGATCTCCCATAGTTTACAGTCTCATTGGGAAGAAACTTAATAAACAGGAGAATGGTTAAATAAATACATAGTTATCATTGAGGAAAATAATTGAGCAGATTGATAGGAGAGAATATATAGGAATAGAAACCCAATTTAGCTTGCATAGTCAGAAAGGACTATTCTGAGAGAAAGACATTAAAATTGAGACCCAGTAGGGAAAGAGGAAACAAGTAATGTCAAGATGCCTGGAAAGATATCAGAAAGAGGGGCTAGCATTTTCAAAGGCCTGAAGAAGAAGCGGCTTGAGGTTTTAAAAAAAATTCTGTGTGAAAAAGAACATAGTGAGAAAGGGTAAAAGTGGTATGATAGAAGATCAAAGAGTAGGTAAAGATGAGTTCATGAGAGGTTATTGTTAAAATGTAAATAAACTAGGATTTATTCAAAGTTCAATGGAAAGTAATGGACAGTTTTTAGGCACAGCCTTCAGTTCTAAAAATGAGGTTCTAATTAAAATTCATAAGAGTTGTGATTAGTCAATGTGGAACTTAAGATGTGGTGGTAGAAAGAAAAGGTGCCTTATAAACTATTTTTAATGTTTTAAATGTCAGTGCATACTGAAGTACCTAGCAAAATGTATTAAATATTATATGATTAATGAAGTAAAGTAAAAAGGAAGGAAAGAAGGAAAGATGGAAGGAAGGAAGGAAGGAAGGAAGGAAAGAAGGGAGGGAAGGAGGGAGGGAGGGAAGGGAAGGGAAAGGAAGGGAGGGAGGGAAGAAGGAAGGAAAGAAGGAAGGAAGCAAGGAAGCAAGGAAGAGAGGGAGGGAGGGAGAGAGAGAGGGAAGAAGGAAGGAAGGAAGGAAGGAGAGAAAGAGGGGAAGGAAGGAAGAGACAAAGAACGAAGTGGGGTTCTTTCAAGCACAAATTGATAAAAACAAAGTAACAACAACAACCAAAACTTAGTAAAGTTAAATTGAGATAGAAATAAACAAATTAGGCAATATATACTAAACTGTTCACTATCACAGGAAAGGAAGGGAAAATGACAAAATAATTTGATAAATATTCTTGTGCATCACCTTTAACAGCATTCAGGTTTTGATCTTTCAGTCACTCAACAAATACTTACCAAACATTTAGTAAATGCCAGATAGTATGTTAAATATGCCCTGTCTTTAGGAAACGTATAATTTGGGAAAGAAAATTAATCATGAATAACAACTGTAACATTGGGCTAAAGAGCTGAAATCAATGGCATTGTTACTATCATGAAAGAACTGAAAGACATTCCATATGAAGAGAGGAGAAATAGCGAAAAAGGAAGGATGTGAGTGGTGAAATGTTAAAGATAGGTCTTGTAAGTCATGGTCACATTTTTATAACTTAAGGGAAATAGAAAAACATAAAATGGACTTAAATAGTGGAGTGACAAAATTAGATTTCTATTTTCAAAAGATACATTTGTCTTTAGGGGGGCAATATTAAAAATGTAAGTAAGAAAGTAAGAGGGCTGGGCATCATGGCTCACACCTATAACCCTGGCAGTTTGGGAGGCCGAGGAGGGTGGATCACTTGAGGTCAGGAGTTCTAGATCAGCCTGGCCAACATGAAACCCCATTTCTACTAAAAATACAAAAATTAGCCTGGTGTGGCCGCACACACCTGTAATCCCAGCTACTCCAGAGGCTGAGGCAGAAGAATCTCTTGAACCCAGGAGGCAGAGGTGGCAGTGAGCCAAGATCACGCCACTTCACTCCAGCCTGGGTGACAGAGCAAGACTTTGTCTCAAAAAATAAATAAACAAAGTGAAATGCTGATGCTGTGGAGTGGAGTGGTGGCTGTGGATTTGGTCAACAGAAGAGCAGGTTGAAAAAGGACTGTCAAAGTGTTTCTGACTGAGGAACTAAAAGGATGTTGCTGCATTTCTAAAAGGTGGAAATGCAGAGGAAAAAACAGGCTAAATGAGTACATGTTTAAATGTGTGTTTTTTTTTTAAGTTTCCTGAGAGCTATCCAGAAGGATGTCTCACATGCCTACAGCTCAGGAGGGATGTCTGAGTAGCAAATATAATTTGTTAGCCATCAACACTCGGAGAAAAAGAAAGTTGAAGCCATATTTTGGATTAGTTCTGCCACGAAAGGAGTTCAGTGAAACCAGATTGTAGATCAAGTCTCCATGATTCATCAGTATGTAATATTTTGATAGATGAAGTATTAGAATAGCTGGGACCACAAAAAAAGACACTATCATTACAGTATGAGATATGCCAGAGATCATAAGTTCTTAGAAACCAAACAAAGAAAAATGTGTAATCAGAAATATGTAGTCAACTGTTAACGGTTGTTTTAAAAAAGTAAAGATATTAATTGAAATTAGTACCTTCAATTAGCGAAAATTGGGGAAAACAAAGTATTGGAATTTGAAATTTAAAAATAGCTTTTACAAAAGCATAATTTTTAAAAATAACTACAAACCCTTGGCTATGGGGAGTGTTATGAAATTGTGAGAAAGTGAGATGCTGATGCTTTGGAGTGGGCTAGTGGCCATGAGTTCAGTCAACAGAAGAGCAGGGAGAAGGAGAGGGAGTGTTAAAAGTTTTCTTTGTATGTAGGGTAGTGAAATAGCTAGGACTAGAGGAAAGAACAGGGAAATAAGCTAGAGATATAGCCTGGAACTCATGTGCTAACACAGTGACTTTTCTTAATTTCAAATATAATGGATATGTTAAAGTTGGGATGTGCCAAAATTATACTTGTATTTTTAAAAAATTAATTAATCTGAAAAAATATGGAAGATTGTGTCTGGAGTGAGCAAAAGGGGTGTCTGAACCAATTTTAATAAATCAGATGAGTAGTTAGAGGGACACAGAATAAGTCAAAGCATATAAGAAAGTAAGAGGAGGGGCCGGATTGGAGAGTTGACACTTCTGAATTTAGTGAAAGATTAGATGAAAAGAATGACAAATGGTAGGCAGGAATGTCAAAAATGAGTCTTGGTTTTAAAACTTGGTACAGACACCCCTTTTGCTCACTCCAGACACAATCTGGAGTGTCTGGAGCATTGCTACTCACCAGCACTGGGAACCAGAGATCATAAAGTTCATTGATTTCTTCATTCAGCAAATGTTTATGGAGCTGCCACAGTGTTCAAGGCAACAGTGTACAACAGTGAATAAAATACAAAAAATTTACTAAACATGTGATATTTTCATATGATAGGCAAGAAAAACAGTACCATTTTATTGATCTCAAATTGGTCAAATAACATACCTACTTTGTTAATATCTCAAAATGAATGGCTCTTTGGGAGAAGTTTTGGAAATTGAAGATTTCCCTTACACAGTTCAATGTTTTACCATGCCATTTTATTTGGAATAATTGCAAGCAAATCAACTTTAAATACATTTTAATAACTGAAAAAAGGCCAAATATTCTGAAGCTAAAACAAAAATTATACTTGCCTTAAATATACATTGAATTCAATCTGCCCTGATCCTATACAAATAGTCAGCTAACCAATAATGGTAAACCAGAAACACTTCAACTTCTTTCAGAGCCTATGGTGTTGGCATTTGCTTTCTCTGTCTTTTGCCCTCTGATGCTTTTATTCTTTTATGCTATGCTTTCTGCATAATTTGAATCAGTTTCCAGTTCTGGCTCTGTTAAAATACACTGATTTTAACATTCAAGGCAGTATCTTAAGAATTCAAGGTATCCACTATCCCTAATCCTTAACAAGGGAGAGTTCAGGCAAATAGTATCTACATAAATCACAAAGGACATTTTCTTCTTAACTCCATTAGTAGTCAAACACTTATTAGCATAGTAGGTTGCATTTAAACATCCCTAACTGAGTCATGATAAAGAGAATTTGGAAAGAAACCAAAGAGGAGTAATAAAAATGATTAACAATTTAAGAAATGTGTCCTAGGAGAAAAGGCTAAAGGAACCAGGTTTGTAAAGCCTGGAGAAATAAATGTTAGAGCTAGAGGGTCAGCTTAAGCACTATAAATAGTCAAAAGACTCTTCGTAGTGATAGAGAGCAAGTGTTCTTTCCAAGAAGTAACCGTAGGTATAGAGATTACAGTAAGGTGTTTAGCCTGAGAAGAGCCTTATTGATTTAATGGATTCTAAGAGTTAGGTATATTTTCTAGTTTCCTAGTGGGACTATGTTCTTTTTCCCATTATAGGCATACATCTATATTCACAGTTATCCTACAATTGTGTAACTAAAGGCACAGAGGGATATCTAGAATATTTGGAATCCCTATAAATATCCATAATATTTAATTGAATAGATGTGGTTTGACAACTAGTAAGGGAGGGGAAAATATATCTCAAGAAAAAATAATATTTAACTATTTTCATTTAAATATCTTGGCCTTCCAATTATCTTGGAGTTATTGTTGTACTACAAATGCCATAAACTTCATGACTTTTAAAATGTCTCTCATATATTTGTGACTTTAGGAAGAATTTATTTGGTATTAAATGGCAAAATGTTTGGGAGGAGGCAATAAAGAATACCTTAAATGTAAAAAAAAAGTATCTTTTTTCCTTTATAATATTACTAAACAATATTCAATGCAATTTATTTTCTGTTTTAGCCCTTGATTTGGAATGTGGGCATTCAGTGTCTACATTTAAAGAAAGCATATCAATGTGTTTATAATCCAAAGTGCAATCTTAGTGCCTCGTATAAAAATACCTAAGCAGCCAATTCTGCATGCAGAAGCAATGAATAATATTACATATTTTACTTAATAGTTTTGGGCCTCTTTATTAACATTAATGATATATTGATGCTATATCCCAGCATGGAATTATTCCTATTTGCAAGTGTTTTTAACAGCCCAATTAATATATTTATTTTCTTAAAAAGTATACCTACGGGGGTATTATATTAATTTTATGATACTAGGCCATAGAATCAGATATTACATGAATATGAGTGTTCATGCAATTTATTCCATGCTCAAATCCAATTTACTGCATTCAAAGTAACAGAACAATATTGAAGGAAGCACTATGCAAAATTAGTCACAGAAATTGTTTGATGATATTATCGGCATTTGTTAGTTGTACATCCACCCATATCACCACCATGCAGCGAAGCTAACATTAATCTATTCAGAATGTTAGTCTAGTCCCAGAAGAGCCTTGACACTAATTATTCAGAACAAAGTAAAAATTTGCTCCATTTTAAATATTTTTCAAAAATGCTTATAAAATGTGATTTTATAAAATCCCCAATGTTTAACAATGTCAGATTCAAGAATTCTCCCCAATATTACAAAGTCCTTTTGCTCAGTGGAAAATGACACTTTCTGACTATAGCCAGTAAGAGTTCTTCAAATTATTGGCACACACTGGTAAATGGAAACTTGGTAGCATTACATATTTTATAAAGCGGCATACTCACTCCTTCTTTATTTGTGCTTTTTGGTGTAAGTATCCAGCTCTCTTGTAAGCCCTCAAGATAGGGCTTCACCATGTCCTTTGTGAACACACTTTCAGTAAGAGATTAACAAGAAGAAATATAAAGGGAGAAATATAAAGGGAGAGTTACATTTATTGAAAAATTATGTATCAAATGTCTAATATACAATTATGATATTAGTTAATAAGAGGAAAACAAAGAAAAAAGTAAAAATACTGTTCTTGTCCTTAGAATACTGTGTGTAAGTTTGAAAAACAAAGCATACACAAATTAAGCAATTAGTTATATGTAGTGAGGACCTATTATGTGCAAGGTAGTAAAATGAAGAAATCACTTTCATTCTCTCATTAAATCCTTGCAATGACATTTTGAGATATTTATTATTGTTGATATTTTGAAGGTAAAAGGGAAAAAGGCTAACTTTTATAAGATTATACAATTAATAATTAGATGATTTGGGTTTGAAACACAGATTTGAGTTCCACACTTGGGCTTTCCATAGAAGACTATGCCATCTCCCCTACTAATTAAGAAACAAAAAGCTTAAGAAGTTATGGAAGAGGAAAGGACAATCTTCCAGTAGCTAGATGAATTCAACTCATCTTAAAACTGAGGTCTCCTTTTCTTATCTTTCTGAAGACTAAATTGTTGCTGGGTGTTCCTAAAGTTTCCTTCCATCTCTAGAATTTAATAATTCTATAATTCTATGGTCTTCATGTGACTAGATTTATTGGAGTAGTATTTCTGAAATAAGCAAGACCCAAGCTAATTCTTGAAGAATGGGAATTTTGGGGACTGGTGGAGGGAAATCCATGACATTTCAAAGGGGTTTGAAAGAAAGAAGGAATTCAAGCTCAGCAGCAAGAAAAAACAGAAAAAGGTACATATAACTTGATCACTATGTTTTTGTTAGAGCAGAAGGTGGTATTGTTGGCTAGGTAATGTGCAGTCACATTTATAAAAAGTTTGAAAGCAAGGCTGAGGAGCCCAAGATCAAACAAAAAAATGTTAATACGGTGGTTGGCCTTGAGATGGTGATGAACAGATACTACAGACCTCAAAAGCAGCCTATAGTAAAATGCAGAGTATTTGGAGATGATTAATCCTAGTGAAAGCAAGCTGAATTAAGAAAAGGAAAGTGTCCAAACCAAGGGCATTGATGAGAAAGGATCAAGGTACTAGACAATTAGAATCTGGGCTAGAAACATCATGCAGAAGGGGATTAACCAGAAGGAAGATGAAGAATAAGTATAAGGTCTCTAGATTTCATCTACATAAAGGAGTGCCTCGATGTTATCCTCAGAATTCCTTTCTCTGTATACTAATACTGTTGCCTTTTTGTATTTTTTCAATTTACATAACCATATATATATATGTATATGGTTAATATATAACTGATCTTTGCTTTAATTTATATTTATGATATCTTTTGTCTAACTCAGATGAAATATCTAACATGTATTTATTGTTCATGCCCTACTACCTCACCCTTTGCTTCAGATCGCTGTTCAAATTTCAAAAGGCTACTTTCACTGCTGATTTTACCTATTATTCTCCCTTCCTCATGCATCTTCAGATGTTTTTCAAACTTAGCCCATCCTGGTCACTGAAGAGAATGTTAGCCCCCTGTGAATTCACAATTGCCTTCTAGTAACTATGTTTTCCTCTATATCTCCTTTGACAGAGATACTAGAATAAATAGTCTGATTGCCGTTCCGCCTATTTATTATGTGTAACTCTACAGTTCTGTAATTTCAGACCTTCGAATGTTGATAACAATATATGAGAAAGTTGAACATTTTCCTAAGCTAAGAGCAACTCATTCATGTGATGCTTAACCATAACATATATACAATTATTTCACTCAGAAATGATTGTTTGAGAAATTTTCCCTATTTTGGAATTTGACAATTTGCAAAGTGTACTTCACATATATTTAAGAAAATGTTGTTGAATGCAACTTTGTATTTCATGGACATTTATGAGAAATATTTATTAGCAACTAATATATGACATGGTATGTTACTTTGCACAGCTGTATTTCATTTAGGTTATATTTTTCATTATTTTCCTGTATTTTTAAAGTAGGTTTTTAGGATTTTCAGATAATGACAACAGCATGTCACTCTCAATAAACTGTTCTTACAGGAGGTAAGCTCTCTCTTTTCTCTTGAGACACTTGTAGCGTAATGCAGAAGGTGTCAAAAATAATTAAGATGAATGAATGTATATCCAATCAAATGAAATTTATCTTTGGAATTTTGACATTTTTTCTATGCTGTGCACGATTTTAATAAGAGCAAATCAAGTGTGCATTTTCTCAACAGGAATGGAAAGAATATTGTATAGCAGTTTTGAGTAATTAGTTGGTAGAATAATATAGGGAGTTCAAATCATTAGCAGCCTCTCTGTTTCAACTGTTACACAAACATGGTTAGGGCTTACGGCCTTTGATATTGGTAATTAGATAATCTTGCCAAATGAAATAATTTCTGTGACTTACATGAACATAAAACTAAGTTCGTCTGAAAAAGAATGCTGTTGGGTAATAAAAATAAGTTTTGTAATTTAACTTATGTATTGCAACCCTCTATTTGTTCAGGAAATTATAGACATCTCTAAAAGCTTCAGTAGGCCGGGCGCGGTGGCTCACGCCTGTAATCCCAGCACTTTGGGAGGCCGAGGCGGGCGGATCACGAGGTCAGGAGATCGAGACCATCCTGGCTAAAACGGTGAAACCCCGTCTCTACTAAAAATACAAAAAATTAGCCGGGCGTAGTGGCGGGCGCCTGTAGTCCCAGCTACTTGGGAGGCTGAGGCAGGAGAATGGCGTGAACCCGGGAGCCGGAGCTTGCAGTGAGCCGAGATCCCGCCACTGCACTCCAGCCTGGGTGACAGAGCGAGACTTCCAGAGAATATCTTTTTCTATTGACATGAGTATGTTTTACTATGAATATTTTACTCATTAATTAGTTTTCTGAAAAGGACTCCCTGCAACTACAGTTTCCTAAGATTTAGATTTGGTCATATCATTAACTCATTCACTCAGGTATCCAAAAGTCATTTGATATGCATAGGAACATTTCTTCAAAGTAAGTATGCTCGTATTTGTTTTATATAAGGTCACTGTCTTGTGGGTTACAAATTTGGGGATTCATTTACCCCCATTTTCAAGCTGTATCATTAATGTCCTCATGTACTGAGAAGTTGATAAGATTAGAAAAATTCACATCTTCATGCTGGTATTTAAAGCTGTGGTATCACTCTAATTCCTTGCTATCCAAGTTTCTTCAAATCTAGAGGTATGTCCCCAAGGAAAGAATCTAAATTCTATGATAGTGCATTCTAGCCAAGAAGTTGAGGCAGCCAAATTGTTCTCTGGTTTTCAAAATTTTATTTCAAATGGTCTCAGGTGTCATACGTAAAAATTGGTCTTCTACTTTCAAGGAAAAGAAGTTGCATTTTTTATCAGCATAGAAAAATTATATCCTGTCCACCACATATAGCCAGAATCTGAGAAATGATATAGAGCTCCTGATTCATTTTCTCCACATTGCTGGAAATTCTCTAATTAGGTACATGCACTCATCATCTCACACCATCAGCATGTGGATAACGAGAGGATCCTAGTCAGAGGAGGCAACTAGCCAAGGCCATGCCAGGATAGGAAATGCATACACTCCTGCAGCTGCCTTATGGGATCACAACGAGTCTGCATTTTTAGAAATGTTATGATAGTGTCAGTTTGAGTCACTAATGGCTACACAGAAAACGTACATGATACCAGCAACGTGACTGAGAGTGGTAATTAAATTTTATTTTCTGATGTCAGTATAAAATGATATAAACTACTATAGAGTAAAATAATATCTCATAAAAATATGTTTTGCATCATAGCAAATATTTTAACAATCAGCAATAATTACACTGAAGAATTTGGCAACTTACTAGCCAAAGTGAACTTAGCAAGTATGTCAGAGTGAGGTGAGAATTATATGAGCTAATGCTTGTAAAGTGGTCTAGTGCAAGGTGTAGCACTTCTGAAGCACTCAGCAAATATTGATTTCATTATTACATGTATTAGGCCTTCCTCCAACTATACTTTCAAAGCTTCCTATCTTCTGGCTTATAATTCTCCATGCTTGATAGGCACTACTGCAAATTTTTGTGACATGAAGTGGCAAAATTTTGCACTTATTAAATTGGTCACAGGAGTGCTTTATTACCTTTATTTCTGGGCTCTCATTCTGCACCTTTGGTTTATATGTCTTTATGTCTGTAATGTAGTTTTTTTATTATTATAGCTTTGTAATATATTTTGAAATTAGAATGTGCAATGCCTCAAAACACATTAAAAACTGAAACGTAAGACCTGAAACTGTGATATGCTTACAAGAAAACAGTGAAAATACTTCATGAGTTTGGTCTTGGCAATGATTTTATCAATATGACACCAAAAGCACAGGCAACAAAAATGAAAATAAACAAGTGGGACTACATCAAACTACAAAGTCTTTGCATTGCAAAGGACATAAGCCACAGAATTTGAAAAGGCAGCCTCTGAAATGGGAGAAAATATTTACAAACCAAATATCTGATAATAAAAATATTTCCAAAATATATAAGGAATTCCTACAAGTCAATAAGATAAAATAACCCAATAAAAATGGACTTGAACAGGCATTTCTTTAAAAAACATACAAATGGTCAACAGGTATATTTAAAAAATGCACAATGTCATTAATCATCAGATAAATGCAAATCAAAACTACAATATATCATCTTATAGCTGACAGGATAAATAGACACTATCAAAAAACAAAAGACAAAAAGTGTATTCAAGAATATGGAGAAATTGAAACCTTTCACGCTGTTGGAGGAATTGCAAAATGGTTCAGCTGCTATGAAAATAGCATGGAGGTTTCTCAAAAAAATAAAAATAGAACTACCATATGTTCCCACTTTTGAGTATTTATCCAAAAGAGTTGAAAATGGATCTCAAAGCAATATTAGAATTCTTATGTTTGTTGGAGCACTATTCACAATAGCTAAAATGTGGAAATAATCTAAATGTCTATCAGCAGATGATGGATAAAGAAAACAAAATGTTATTTATTCTGCTTAAAAAATGAAGGAAATTCTGCAATATGAAACAAAACAGATGAAGCTTAAAGAAATCATTCTTTTTTATTATTATTATACTTTAAGTTCTGGGATACACCTGCAGAACGTGCAGTTTTGTTACATAAGTATACACGTGCTATGGTGGTTTGCTGCACCCATCAACCAGTCATCTACATTAGATATTTCCCCTAATACTATCCCTCCCCTAACCCCCCACCCCCCAACAGGCCCCGGTGTGTGATGTTCCCTTCCCTGTGCCCATGTGGTTCTCATTGTTCAACTCCCACTTATGAGTGAGAACATGAGGTGTTTGGTTTTCTGTTCTTGTGTTAGTTTGCTGAGAATGATGGTTTCTAGCTTCATCCATGTCCCTACAAAGGACATGAATTGATCCTTTTTTATGGCTGCATAGTATTCCATGGTGTATATGTGCCACATTTTCTTTATCCAGTCTATCATTGATGGGCATTTGGATTGGTTCCAAGTCTTTGCTATTGTGAATAGTGCCACAATAAACATACATATGCATGTGTAGAACAATTTATAATCCTTTGGGTATATACCCAGTAATGGGATTGCTGGGTCAAATGGTATTTCTAGTTCTAGATCCTTGAGGAATCACCACACGGTCTTCCACAACGTTTGAACTAATTTACCCTCCCACCAACAGTGTAAAGCATTCCTATTTCTCCACATCCTCTCCAGCATCTGTGGTTTCCTAACTTTTTAATGATCACCATTCTAACTGGCATGAGATGGTATCTAATTGTGGTTTTGATTTGAATTTCTCTAAAGACCAGTGATGATGAGCTTTTTTGCATATGTTTGTTGACTGCATAAATGTCTTCTTTTGAGAAGTGTCTGTTCATATCCTTTGCCCCCTTTTTGATAGGGTTGTTTTTGTTTTTTTCTTGTAAATTTGTTTAAGTTCTTTGTAGATTCTATATATTAGCCCTTTTAGATAGATTGCAAAAATGTTCTCCCATTCTGTAGGTTGCCTGTTCACTCTGATCATAGGTTATTTTGCTGCCCAGAAGTGCTTTAGTTTAATTAGATCCCGTTTGTCAATTTTGGCTTTTGTTACCATTGATTTTGGTGTTTTACTCATGAAGCCTTTGCCCATGCCTATGTCCTTATTGCCTAGGTTTTCTTCTAGGGTTTTGATGGTTTAAGTCTTTAATCCATCTTGAGTTAATTTTTCTATAAGGTATAAGGAAGGGGTTCAGTTCCACTTTTCAGCATATGGCTAGCCAGTTTTCCCAACACCATTTATTAAATAGGGAATTCTTTCCCCATTGCTTGTTTTTGTCAGGTTTTTCAAAGATCACATAGTTATAGATGTGTGGTGTCATTTCTGAGGCCTCTGTTCTGTTCCATTGTTCTCTATATCTGTTTTGATACTAGTACCATGCTGTTTTGGCTACTGTAGCCTTGTAGTATGGTTTGAAGTCAAGTAACGTGATGCCTCCGGCTTTGTGCCTTTTGCTTAGGATTGTCTTGGCTATGTGGGCTTCTTTTTAGTTCCATATAAAATTTAAAGTAGTTTTTTTTTTCAATTCTGTGAAGAAAGGCAATGGTAGCTTGATTGGTATAGCATTGAATCTGTAAATTACTTTGGGCGGTATGGCCATTTTCATGATATTGATTCTTCCTATCCATGAGCATGGATGTTTTTCCATTTGTTTGTGTCCTCTCTTATTTCCTTGAGCAGTGGTTTGTAGTTCTCCTTGAAGAGTTCCTTCACATCCCTTGTAAGTTCTATTCCTAGGTATTTTATTCTCTTTGTAGCAATTGTGAATGGGAGTTCACTCATGATTTTGCTGTTTGTCTGTTACTGGTGGATAGGAATGCGTGTGATTTTTGCACATTGATTTTGTATCTTGACACTTTGCTGAAGTTGTTTATCTGCTTAAGAAGATTTTGGGCTGAGACTACGGGGTTTTCCAAATAAGCAAACATGTCATCTGCAAACAGAGACAATTTGACTTCCTCTTTTCCTAACTGAATACCCTTTCTTTCTTTCTCTCACCTGACTGCCGTGGCCAGAACTTCCAATAGTATGTTCAATGGTAGTGAGAGAGGGTATCCTGGTCTTGAGCTGGTTTTCAAAGGGAACGCTTCCAGTTTTTGCCTATTCAGCATGATATAGGCTGTGTATTTGTCATAAATAGCTCTTATTATTTTGAGATATGTTCCATCAATGCCTAGTTTATTGAGAGTTTTTAACATGAAGGGGGTGTTGAAAGCCATCTGTGGAAAGTCAAATACTGCATAAGTCCAGTCATACCAGGTCTCTAAAATAGTCAAATGGATAGAATCAATGAGTGGAATGGTAGTAACCAGAGGCTGAGAGGAGGGGGAAATGAGGATCACTACTCAATCAGCATAAAATTTATATGAAGCAAAATAAATAAACTTTACAGGTCTGCTGTGCGACATTGTACTTATAGTCAACAATTAGTTATTGTACACTTAGAAATTTTTGAAGAGGGTTGGTCTCATATTAAATGTTTTTAACATAATAAATATAAATCTCTCACTGTCTCTCTCTCTCTATATATAATTCTGATGATAATGACATTGAACATTTATTTCATATACCTGTTGCCCATTTGTTTTTGTTATTTTTAAGATATGCCTATTTGAGCCTGTCTCTCTATTTCTCTCTCTTTCAGAGAGCGAAAATGGTACAATAAAGGTAATAAAATTCATTCCTTATGCTTATATAGGGATGTAAAACAAATTAGGAAAATTCATCTAGAACAAGGAACAGCATACTTTTTCTGTTTAGGCCTAGATATTAAAAGTTTTCAGTTTTGTTATAGTGAAAAAGAGTTTTCTAAAAGGACAAAATGAAGGTAGACTATGAAGAGTGTTTTGGGGGGCTCCCCTTAAAATCCTGCTGTGGAGGTTTAGTAGTTCCTTTGGGAATTAATCCCAAGAAGCTAAAGTAAGAGACCTAGAAGAGTGAGTCAGGGGAGGATGAAAACACAATTCAAGAGTGCATTTTTATTTTTACTGCTGTGTGCAACAGAAGGGACTCTGCCAGACATCCTGAAATGTACAGTTGCTTTACAGAATTCTCTGCTTGAAAGGCTAATTAATCCTTTAGCTCCTACCTCCTGTTCATTGAGGGCACCCCAAGAACATTAACTCCAGTACTTCCGGGCTGAAGTGCATATGAGTTAAGGAGGCTCCTACGGCATTAGAGAAGGACGAGAGGCAGAAAAGTGTATCTGTGCCTCTGGTGTTGTGCTGTAAGTTTGAGATAAGCCTGACTTACATAGAGCAGTTCATCATTGCTGCTACTGAAATAAGAGGTGAACCAAAGAAAATAAAGGAAATAAAGACTGCTATCATCTGCTGCTTACACAGATCAAATTTACAAATGGGGAAACACTTACTGTACATTCTTTTTTCCCTGCTCAAATTTATTGAGGTATAATTGATATATAAAAATTGTATATATTTAAGGTGTACAATGTGATGTTTGGATATATGTATACACTGAAATAATTAACAAAACCAAACTTGTTAACCTAATTAACCTATCACTTCATATAGTTTCTATTTTGTGTGTCTATTTGTGATGATATAATCAAGGTTGACTTTCTTAGCAAGTTTCAATTACCTTACATTATTATTAACTGTTCTTGAAGTGTCTTTGTCAGGTCCTCCATCAAGAATCTCCTTTTAGATCAGCAAGACCTTGATCTAAAAATAGGCTCAGAATTGGAACTGGTGGGGAAATCACAATATTGACACTATGGTATCTGACATCAATTAATTTTTGCCAATATGATAGGTAAAAAGCAACAACAGTATTAGTTTTTTATTTTTTTCTCTTATGAGGAGAATCCAGAATATTTTCATAAGTTTAACAGTTAGTTGTGTATCTGTTTTTGTGAATTGTTTGTTCATGGCTTTTGCCCATTTTTCTATCAGGCTTTGAGAGTTATTTTTGCTATCAAATTATAAGAATTATTTTTAGGACGTGTGAATGGCTCATTCCTGTAATCCTAGAAATTTGAGTGGACCTGGGGAAGAGACCGCTTAGGTCCGGCAGTTTGAGACCAGCCTGGGCAACATGGTAAAAACCTGTGTCTACAAAAGAATACAAAAACCAGATGGGCATGGTGATGCATGCCTATAATTCCAGCTATTCAGAAGGCTGAGGTGAGAGGATTGATTGAGACCAGGAAGCCGAAGCTTCAGTGATCCATGATAGTGCCACTGCACTCCAGCCTAGGTGACAAAGTAAGACCCTGTCTCAAATAAATAAATAAATAAGAATGATTTGTATACTGGAGAGATTACCCTTTTGCACATAATCTGTATTGCAAATAGTCTCCCAGTTTGACACCTCTTTTTAAATATTGTTTATGGTGTTTGTTGCTACCATACAAACTTTTTTTTTAAAAAAGTAATGTAATTTGATTTTGAATTTGAATTTTGAAGCACAGTTAAGTTTTTCCCAGGACACTTAATAGCACTTGTATGTTTGACATGTCTTAAACTAAGAGCATTAAAATCTATTTTTAATATATTTTGTCAGTCTCTCTATGTATTTTCTGTAGCATCTGATTGTAAGAAATATATACATTTTTTAATATGGCCCAAAGATCTTCAAAATCATTTATACCACATGAGAAATCTGACCTTTACTTTGTAAAGCATCTTTCTCTTCTTTCATTTCTTTTGGCTTCAATTCAATCTTGTATGCGACTAGGTTCACATTCAATGCTTTTTTACTGTCTCCACTTGCCATGCACACTCTTGCCTACAGAACATCTCTGATCTGAATTTCTGTAATAGCATCCTGACTGGTCTTTTGTGAACACTGATTGTCCCCTAAACTTTGTTTTCAAAGCATCAGCTGGAGCAATCTTTGTAAAAGTTAAATCATAGTATGCCATTCCTCTCCTTAAAGGTTTGCAACAGCTTCTTGTGCCACTTGGAGTAAAACTCAAATTTCTTAAAGATGGCTTGAAATGTCCTAAGTGTTCTGGTCCCTCACTGCCTGTCTGGGATCCTCATCTACTCCTTGCTGTTCCTGATCCAACTACATCAGCGACCTTACTGATCTTTGGGATTCCCACTCACATTCTCACCTCAGGGAATTTACACTAGCTATGCCCTTTAGTTACCACACCTCTCACATATCTGAATAGCTGATTCCCTCAGTATCTTCAGATCTTTGCTGAAATATAAAATTTAAATTCTTCCCTCATCACCTTTTTAAATATTACAACATGGCCCTGATCCCTCTCACCCTGATCTACGTTTGCTAATTTATTATGGTTATTGTTACTGTGCCTCTCCCTACTAGAATGAAGGCACCAGGAGGAGAGGGATCTCACACAATTTGTTCACTGACGTGTCCTAAGAACCTAGAAAGACACCAGAACATAGTTGGACTCTGAATAATATGTGCTACATGAAGGTCTTTTTCCCCCTCCTACTAATCTTGCATCATACAGATATATTCTTCTTAATAATGCCAGTGATCTTTCAAAGCATCATAGAACCACACTATCTCCTTTATTTAAAACCTTTTAGTGACATCCCATCACCTTTAAAGTGAAACTAACTTCCCTAGCCTGAGGAGCAAGGCCCTTCATACTTTATACCCAGGCTCTCTAATCTTTCACAATTCCCATCTCACATTCTGAATTCTAGCCATGATAAATTGCTCGCATTTTGCCAAATATGCTATGTTTTCTCACAACTCTCTGTCCCTGCCCTTAGGTAGGGTGGCTATATAATTTATCGTCTCAACCAGGATACTTCTGAGAGTTAAAGTGGGTGTTATTAATAATTGCACCAGAACATCAGGCACAAAGTAGGACGTTCTCAGACAAACAGGGATGAATGGTCAGGTATGTTACCCTCAGGCTTTCTGCCTGAAATGTCCTTCCCAAGTTCTTCGCTGATACTGGCAAAACATCTTTCGTGTTTTCAGCTTCTATATCACATCCTTAAATAAGCCTTTTCAGATCTCTGATTCACATCAGACATCCTTCATTCATACCTGATAATACCAATCACTTCTTTTACCATAATTACCATTTACTTATCTGGGGGCCCATACGAGTGTACATGTGCTTCTTAAAGGCAAGGAGCTTCAATCCCTGGCACTAGACACAGAGTATACCAAATAATAGATAATATATTGTGAGAGTGTAAGGTTCGGAGTTGAGTTTATGGGCTGTGGTGCCAGACTAATGAGTTTAAATTTGGGATTTTCCGAATTTTAGCTGGGTGTCCTTGAGCAATTAAATAGTCTGCCCGTAGAATGGTTGTGGAAACCAAATGAGATAATACCATAATGAATAAGCATAATGTAAGAACTCAGTAAACCTTAAATACTTCAGCAGTAATTCAATAACAATTCACTGAATAAATAACTTTTCTACCAAAAATATTAACCATATAAATATTATAATTAATATTCTCACTGGAATCTTAGATAGAACACCTATGCACATAATATTTCAACTGATCACTCCCTCAAGAAAACTGCTAGGAAGAACTAGCTCATACATTATAGTATTTTCTATTCATAGTGAGAAAGCTCATTCAAAGCATTAAATGACTTGCACAGAAATTGAGAGAATTGGGAGTTAGTATGCAAATTAACTGTAACACAATCTTGTGTCTTCACCCTTCATCCATGTGCTCTCTCGGCCTAAAATATTCCTCCCTTTTCCCCCAGCCAATCTTCACAATTTAGGATGAGATTTCACCTCATCCAGGAACTTTTTCTAGTTTTGCTCTTGCCTCCTCCCAGCCAGGCAAGGTGCCCCTCTCCTGGGCAGCGCTGTGCTGGACTTTGCTATCTGAGCTGTTTTGCCATCTAGGCCAGGAATTGTGTCTTTTTTGTTTTTCTCAGAATCTGTCTCTAGGAGCTAGCTGCTATGCTTGATATTTAGTAGTTGCTTTACTAAACCTGACTCTAAATCTAGTTATAATTTCAATATTCCAAGTGGCTGCTGAAAATTGGCCTTAGAAATTTTTGCTACAAAATGAACATGTGCATGCACACACACACACACTCACACACACACACATGCACAAAAAACTGCATGTTAAACAGAAAATGAGATGTTAATTGGAAATACTGATTTGAAAAATAATACTGGCATTTATTAAATATTTGTTCTGCGCCCAGCACTCTGCTAAGAACATCATACATGTTTTTGTTGTTGTAGTTGATTTTCCATTTTTGACTTACAGTAACCCTATGGACAAAGTATGGCCTTCCACCTTATAATTATACTATCATTCTCATTCTACACATGAAGAAAACATATTTACACCATTCTTCATGTTTTGTTTGTTGCAAAACTTTAGGTCTAGATAGAAGAAAATATTTAAAAAGAAAAGATGCAATTCTAACATATATCCACTTATCTTAGAAAAATTATCAGATGATACATTAGTAGTGGGGGTAGGGAGAAGTTTTAGAATGAAATTCATGACTGTGCCATTTCTATTTTCTCATATACATAAGGAAAGTCTTTATGTTCTACAAACACATTACAAAAGAAATATCTCCTCAAATTATTATGTAGAGATGGTTCATTCATATACTTTTGCTCTCAAAAATCATCTTTTATTATAGAGTCCCCTAATGAATATCTGATTTTTCTTTTCAAGACATTTATTTGATTCTTCCAGGATTCTTAGTTTATTCTTCAAAATCATATATTTTCTACTAAAACTTTTAGAAGTTAATTTAGGTTTTCCTTTATATTTTGCAATATAAAACATCTGATTTACTAAAATTAAGTGTATTATTTACTACATATTGTTTATTTTTATAAACATTTCAGAGTGGTACACCTAATACTTTTCCTATGCGCACCTATACATCTATTTGTAAGATTTTATGTAATGTGTATATGTGTAAAAATACCATTAACATTTTTTCTCTGAGATCACATAGAGTATTTGAATCTGTTTAGATAGTGACATATGGGCTGCTGACATACGACAATGGATACAGAAGTATATGGTAATAGCCTTTGCTGACTTCCATGACTATACTCAGTAGAAATAACTAAAATTTATTGCATTACAGTGAGTTAAAAATGATACTAGCATTTAGTTTGGATTTGACATCTTATTGCCCTTTTTATATGGATTCGTATTAACTTTAAGACTCTTCCTAGAGCAGCAAATCAGCCCCATAATTTCCTCCTTGGTGCTTTGCAATGGCTCTTGAGCTTTTTTCCCCTCATCAATATTGCAAGTAAGTTTGTGCTTCCAGGAAAGAAGAAAATTAAACTGTAGCATCACGATGGCCTCTGTTTCTCTTTCTCCAGCCTTATAGTTCTTATATCCCAACAGTTTGACCTTTCAGTGATTTTAGAATACATAATTTAATTTGCACAATCCACAGCAATTTCATGACTTTGGAAATCCTTCAGAATTCAAGACTAACACTGCTCCTATCATTGTTGCTGTGGCAGGAACTGCTGACTATTAGAAAATGAAAACAACAAATGAAGAGGGATTCTTTTGTTCCAAAATTTGAGAAGAGTAAGAAAGAAAATCTGTTTCTATTGCTTTATGATTCTTATCATGGTTTATGTGTAAATTTGTTAGAAAATGATTAGATAATTTAGAAATGACTTATTTTAACATCTACAGATGTCAGTTAGCAGACATGTTATAAGAAACTTCACAAAGACACAAATAGGAATTACGTAAAAGTTAATGAAACATAAAAAGTATGTTTGTTCGCCAGGCGCGGTGGCTCACGCCTGTAATCCCAGCACTTTGGGAGGCCGAGGCGGGCAGATCACGAGGTCAGGAGATCGAGACCATCCTGGCTAACGCAGTGAAACCCCGTCTCTACTAAAAATACAAAAAAAAAAAAAAAAAAGCCAGGAGTGGTGGTGGGCGCCTGTAGTCCCAGCTACTCAGGAGGCTAAGGCAGGAGAATGGCGTGAACCTGGGAGGCGGAGCTTGCAGTGAGCAGAGATCGCGCCACTGCACTACAGCCTGGGCGACAGAGCGAGACTCTGTCTCAAAAAAAGTAAAAAATAAATTTAAAAAGTATGTTTTTTTTTCCTCCATGTATGTATGCATGCTCTTATTTTAGAAAAGACTTAATCAGGCCAGGTGCAGTGGCTTATGCCTGTAATCCCAACACTTTGGGAGGCCAAGGTGGGCAGATCACCTGAGGTCAGGAGTTCCAGACCAGACTGGCCAACGTGGTGAAAACCCATCTCTACTAAAAATACAAAAATTAGCCGGGCATGTTGGTGCATGCCTGTAATCCCAGCTACTCGGGAGATGGAGGCAGGAAAACACTTGAACTTGAGAGGCGGAGGTTGCAGTGAGCCTATATCCGCCACTGCACTCCAGCCTGGGCTACAGAGTGAGCCCTCGCCTCAAAGAAAAAAAAAGAAAGAAAAGACTTAATCATTGGTCACTGTTTAGTAAATAGGTAGTTTTGCTTTACTGATTATTATTTCTTACTTGGGAAAGGGATGTGTTTAAAGGTCCCATCTTCTACTCTCTACATTTCAGGGTGGAATAATTACACAAGCATAGTTAAATGTATGCAAAATGCCAAATCCCTATAAAATAAGAGTTATTGTCTTTTTATTTGACAGTAGTAATGAAACTGACATACTAAAACTGAATTTTTAACTGTGTCTGCACATGCTACTCGTTCAAGTGGATTACTTTCACTCGTATATCAAAGTAAACAATTGTTTGATTCCACTAACTGGCTTTTAAACTGTCTTTATAAAAATCGGCCAGTGAGATTATTGAAATGTGCAACTGCTGAGATAACCTGGTGAAACAATTTTTACGGTGATATTATGCAGTCTGATATCATATTATGTAATAAATTCAGTAGATGAACTGGAATTTAATAGTTATTTCTATAACAATTTTAAAAATGAAATGAAAGATGGATTGATCTAACCAGAAAATAACAACTATAGAGAAAAAAATTATGAGTTTATTCTTATGAGATGTAGCCTGCACTAAAGTGGAAGTTTCAAATATTTTGTCCATTCATTTATTTTATAAACTAAGTATTATGTTTTAATGAATTCATATCAATTTTATTTTTATTGTATTGGAAATAATTTATTAATATCTACAGAATCATTTATTTAATAAAATAACTCAATTTTATGACCAATCTATAATACAGAAGAAAGTGGAATCTTATGGCTGAAAGGGGAACTTTAAGGGACCCCACATTATAAGTTTCTTCATTTCTAGGCACAACTGAAGAAAACTATAAAACTCAAAATTTTAAAACCACTACGTGTGTTAATGTTATTGATCACTACCATAATCACTGACATTTTAATTTTGACAGGACAAAGACGATTCAGTATCTTAGTCTTCTCTTGACCCTCATGATATTTTATATAGGTCCTTTCTTTCCAATAAAATATGTTAAAATAGTTGCTAGCTTAAAAATGTTTCATAAACATTCAAACTATAAGCAAAGTTTTTATAGGAACTCAATACAAAAAATTCCCTTCTCTGTTCCTTATAGATAATGGATTCATCAATACAGTTAATTCGCATAAAAAAATTACCTTTCTGAAACACAATGTTGTGATTGGCATAAGTTTCAATATAATGCAAGTCAATAACTAATTGGCATATATAGAAATATTTCATAGCATATTTTCTTGACACACCTAAGTGAATTAACTCTATAAATATTAAATGTTTACTTTTGATATCTCATTAATCATAAAGAAATTTTATTATTACTATCAACATTTGATTTAATAGACCCGGAAATTTTAAACTTAGGATACTTCAAATGTCAAAAACAAAGATATTTCTGAGACTAAATTTGAATTTATAATTTAAATCTTTCTAATTGCATGTTCACATCATGTTTTTGCAAGATAAAATCTTTCCTTTTGAGAAAGTAAGCTCTATTCTGGGGGACTGTCAATACTTTAAGGAAAGAAAAGAAAATGTAGTAGGATAAGAGAAAAGAAAAAGAAGGCTTTCAATTCTGGGAACGAATGGAGGGCAGGAGCGAAAAAAAGAGAAGAAAGAATGAGAAAACATGAATGATCGAGAAGTTTTTCTTGCCTCAGATTCCATGTAGTACAATCTACTAAGACAGTGTTCAAACATTCTTGAAGCATATAAAGAGTACTCCACATGAGCATCAGTTTTATGTGAAAAATAAAAATTTTTAAATAGTTAAAAGATATATATTTTTTCCATTAGAAATATATATTTTTATCAGAAAAAAATGTTTAATAACCCACATATTAAATATACAGGAGCTGAAGTGAAGTAGAAGATACTTCTTGGACTGAAATACAGGAAATAAACCTTGAAAACTGAAAGTAAAATTATTAATTTCCTTAAAAAATAATGGAAATGCATATTAATAGGTATTGGTGGATCATTATTTAAGCATTAATTAAATTCTTTAATCTTGTGCCTAGAAATGTAAATTTAGTTCTTGAAAAGCCTTCAGGATTTGGAAACTTAACTGACTGTATACATTTTTCTTAGCTATTATAAAATTCAGATTTGCTGCACATTGTAAAATTCTAAAAATAAATTTAAAAGTTTCTTCTTACTTTTCTTCTTTCTGGTTCAATCTTAATTTTTTTTCCAAAAATGTTTTGTTACTTACACACACAGACATATGTGTGCATGTACATGTATATATATATTTTACCATATTAATATTATAAGCTTCTGTATATTAAAAACACCATTAAATAGCAGGCAAAAAATACAACTTTGGAGAAGATATTTCAATGCATATAATCGAAAAATAATTGTAGTATATATTATACAATAACGTTGTGTACATTGCTTTGGTTTGAATGTGTCCCATAGAAAATTCAAACATTGCCAATATGATAGTATTAAGAGGTAGAGCATTTAAGAGGTGATAAGGTCTTGAGTGTGCTTTTCTGATGACTGGGATCAAGGCTCCTATAAAGGGCCTTCTTCACACAGTATTTGTTCTTCTGCCTTCTGCCATGTGAGGACATGGGATTCCTGTGTTGTGTGGCCTTCTCCCTTCCACCATGTGAGGACACAGGATTCCCATGTCTTGATGCCTGATGCAACATCAAAGCCCCATCTTGGAAAAAGAAAGCAGTGCTCACCAGAAAACCTAACCTGCTGGTGCCTTGACCTTGGACTTTCCAGCCCCCAGAACTCTGATGAAATACAATTTCTGTTCTTTATAAATTACTCAGTCTACCATATTTTGTTACAGCAGCACAAATGGACTAAAACATACAGGAAAAGCAGAAAGACAATTGACATAAGATAGACAATGGCAAAAATATAGACATTTCCCTGAAAAAAATGCAATAATATTTAATAAATACATTAAAAATGTCAACCTAGTCAGTAATTAGGGATTTGTTAAATAAAACCTTAATGAAAAAAATTCAAACCACCACATCTGGCAGCGATAATTTTGTCAGATAATATTAGCATCTGTGAAGAAATGTAACAGCGTAGACCCTAATACACTGCTAATGAAAAATCAACTGATACAACTACTATGGACTGCAAGTTGATAAGTATTATGTAAAACTAAATATGCACATCCCAACTATCAACACTTCCACTACTAGGTAGATATTTTTACTAGATACTTTTAAACAAGTGTATAAGAAGCCCCAGAAAATAATACATAGTCATAGGTTATAAAAATATTTATCGTTCATAACAAGTCCAAAGATAAACAAAAGGTAATAAAACAATCTACAAACAAGAGAATGGAAAAAGCATATGTCATTTATAATAGAAAGCTTTATACTTGAGTAAACAACAATGAAGAACAGCTTTGTGTATCACCATGAATGAAGCTTAGAGAACAATACAATGAAACAACTGAATTGATACCACATATACAAAGCTCAAAAAGTACTTAGGGCCGGGCGCGGTGGCTCACGCCTGTAATCCCAGCACTTTGGGAGGCCGAGGCGGGCGGATCACGAGGTCAGGAGATCGAGACCATCCTGGCTAACACGGTGAAACCCCGTCTCTACTAAAAATACAAAAAATTAGCCGGGCGAGGTGGCAGGCGCCTGTAGTCCCAGCTACTCGGGAGGCTGAGGCAGGAGAATGGCGTGAACCCCAGGGGGCGGAGCCTGCAGTGAGCCGAGATCGCGCCACTGCACTCCAGCCTGGGCAACAGCGAGACTCCGTCTCAAAAAAAAAAAAAAAAAAAAAAGTACTTAGAACTAACATTCAACTCCAAAAATCCCATTACTAGGAAAAAACCCAATGGAAAATAAATCATTCTGTCAAAAAGACATACACACTTGTATGTTTACTGCAGCACTATTCACAATAGCAAAGACGTGGAATCAACTTAGGTGCCCATAAACGGTGAATTAGATAAATAATATGTGGTACATAAACACCACGGAATACTACACAGCCATACAAAAGAATGAAATCATATGCTTTGCAGCAACATAGATGCAGCTGGATATTATCCTAAGCAAATTAAATCAGGAACAGAAGACCAAATACCACATGTTCTCACTTGGAGTAGAAACCAAATATTGGGAACAAATGGTAATAAAAGTGGAAATAATAGATATGTGAGACTAGTAGAGGGAAGAAAGAGAGGGGGGACAAGGGATGAAAAACTACCTGTTGGGTACTATGCTTACTACCTGGGAGACTGGATCATCATTAGTACCCTAAACCTCAGTGTCACCCAATCTTACCATGTAACAAACCTCCAGATGTACCTTCTGAACCTAAAATAGAAGCTGAGCTTTCTTTTTTCATTTTTTTTTCTTTTTTAAGAATGTTTAGAAGAAGAGAGGGGTGCTCCTCATATTGAAGTTCTCTTGTTTCACTGGAGGGCACAATATGGAGGTTACAATCATTGGCTACAGATTGTAACATATAGGCTAAAATGTCTATAGGTAAGACAATCAGTAAAACTTCGTGATTCAGAAACAAATCAGCGTCTTTCTCAATATTAGCTGTTTATGCATGAATCAGTATATACGCAATTTGAGGAACTCAGAATTTTTTTTTTTTTTTTTGAGAGATGGAGTCTCGCTCTGTCACCTAGGTTGGAGTGCAGTGGCGCGATCCTGGCTCACTGCAACCTTGCAACCTCCATCACCCGGGTTCAAGCCATTCTCCTGCCTCATCCTCCTGAGTAGCTGGGACTACAGGCATGTAGAAAATATTTTTTATCCTAAGGTTTTCTTCACCCTAAGGAAAGGATGTCATTATGAATCACACCACCTCCCAAGACAGGTTAATTTGGAAGCCTGTTTACTTTTAAATTGCCAAAAGTAACCTAAAGGTTAGTTTTACAAATGTTAATAGGGTTGGCTTTACTGTATCAACAAACAGAAACCAAGACTTAATGACAAGTATGAGTATCTCCAGAAGGGTTAGGGTAAATTAGTGTCAATAGGATTATTTTTAAACTGGAAACAAATAAGTTGATAATTCAACTAAATGAAAACACTAGCTATGACCATAAAAGTCACTTAACCTCCCTGAACCCATCTTTCTGCTTATTGAAGTAAAAGCATTATTTCTATTATTTTATTATTCTAAGTTAAAAACCATGTGATTAAACAACAGAATATATATCTAAAGTTCATAGGTGACTATTCATATAAATTCTTTCTCTTTGTGAAATATGTGTATCTAATTATGACTTCCAGGATATTTATTTCAGTTTCTGAATCCAAGGAGGTAGGATTTTTTCTTTTTAATTTCTTTAAGAAGGGCAAATCTTGACTCTGGGCTATACATTATTCCAAATAATCATGCTAGATTGAGCAAGATCATTTCACAAGTTAGCCAAACAACATATCATTCTTATTAAGAATCATTGCAATGGCTTTTTCCAAAAAGGGTATACAACTCTTTCCATGACAACATATACAAGATAAGCAAACCAAGGCCCAAGGATCAAACCTAGTCTGTTATTAATTATTGTAAATCAAGTTTTATTGGAACACAGCCATACCCATTTATTTGCATAGTGCCCTTGGCTGTCCTACAGTGGCTATTTGAATAGTAAGGATAGAATCTATCTAAATTGCAAAGGCTAGAATATTTGCTATGTGGCTTATTATAGAAAGTGTGCTGACCTGGTATATTAATTAGTCCGTTTTCACACTAATATAAAGATACTACCTGAGAATGGGTAATTTATAAAGGAAAGAGGTTTAATTGACTCACAGTTCCCCATGGCTGGGGAAGCCTCAGAAAACTTATAATCATGGCCGAAGGTGAAAAGGAATAAGGCACGTCTTACGTGGTGGCAGGAGAGAGAGAGAGAACACACATAGGTGAAAATTGCCACTTTTAAAACCATCAGATCTCATGAGAGCTCCCTCACTATCATCATAACAGGATGAGGGAAACTGTCCCCATGATCCAATCAACTCCCAACAGGTTCCCCCCTTGACATGCAGGGATTATAATTTGAGATAAGATTTGGGTGTGGATACAGAGCCAAACTATTTCATTCTGCTCCTGGTCCCTCCAAAATCTCATGTCCTTTTCATATTTCAAAACCAATCATGCCTTCCCAACAGTCCCCTAATGTCTTAACTCATTCCAGCATTGACTCACAACTCCAAGTCCAAAGGCTCATCTGAGACAAGGCAAGTCCCGTCTGCCTATGAGCCTGTGAAATCAAAAGCAAGTTAGTTATTTCCAAGATACAATGTGGGTAAAGGCATTTGGTAAATGTTTCTACTTCATATGGGAGAAATTGGCCAAAACAAAGGTGACACAGGCCCCTTGAAAGTCTGAAACCCAGCTGTGCAGTCATTAAATCTTAGAGCTCCAAAATCTCCTTTGACTCTGTGTCTCATATCCAGGGCAGGCTAATGCAAGGGGTGGGCTCCCACACCCTCGGGCAGCTCTGCCCCTATGTCTCTGCAGCGTGCAGCCCCTGAAGATGTTTTCATAGGCTGGTGTTGAGTGCCTGTGGCTTTTTCAGGTGCATGGTGCAAGCTGTTGGTGGATCTACCTTTCTGGGGTCTGGAAGATTGTGGCCTTTTTCTTACAGTTCCACTAGGCAGTGCCCCAGTGGTACTCTGTATGAGGGCTCCAACTGCACATTTTCCCTCTGCATTGCTCTAGTAGAGGTTTTCCGTCAGAGCTCCAATGCTGTAGCACTTTTGCCCAGACATACAGGCATTTCTATGCATCCTCTGAAATCTAGGCATAGGCTCCCCAAGTTCAACTCTTGTCTTCTGTGCACCCCCAGGCAAAACAGCAAGTGGAAGCTGCCAAGGCTTGGGGCTTGCACCCTCTGTAGCAACAGCCTGAGCTGTATATAGGCACCTTTTAGCCACGGCTGGAGCTGGAGTGGCTGGGACACAGGGTACCAAGACTGGAACCTGCACAGAGCAGCAGGGCCCTGGGTCCAGCAAACGAAGCCATTTTTCCCTCGTAAGCTTCTGGGCCTGTGAAGGGAGGAGCTGCCATGTCTGGGCTATTAACATTTAGCTCCTCTTTACTTGTGATGCAGATTTCTGCAGCAGGCTTGAATTCCTCCCCCAGAAAATGGGTTTTTCATTTCTACCACATGGTCAGGCTGCAAATTTTTCAAACCTTTCTGCTCTGCTTCCTTTTTAAACATGTTCACATTTCAAACCATCTCTTTGGGAAGTCATATAACTGAGCACTTTTGGAATAAGCCAGGTCACATCTTGAATACTTTGCTGCTTAGAAATTTCTTCTGTCAGATACTCTAAATCGTCTCTCTCAAGTTCAAAGTTTCACAGATCTCTAAAGCAGGGACAAAATGCCACCAATCTCTTTAATAAATCATAGCAAGAGTGATATTTGCTCCGGTTTCCAATAAGTTCCTCATCTCCATCTGAGACCACCTCAGTCTGTACTTTATTGTCCATATCACTGTTAACATTGTGGTCACAACCATTCCACAAGTCTCTAGGAAGTTCCAAATTTTTCCACGTTTCTGTCTTTTTCTGAGCACTCCAAATTGTTAAAGCCTCTGCCTGTTACCCAGTTCCAAAGTCATTTTCCTTATTGTCTTGGCTATTAGCATTCAGCTCGTCTTTACTTATGATGCAGATTTCTGCAGCAGGCTTGAATTCCTCCCCAGAAAATGGGTTTTTCATTTCTACCACAGGGTCAGGCTGCAAATTTTTCAAACCTTTTCCAGTTGTCTTTATAGCAGTGCCCCACTCCCAGTACCAATTCTCTGTATTAGTCTGTTTTTACATTGATATAAAGGTACTCCCTAATAAATTAGAATAGGATAAATATGAACATTTAGAAGACTGGATTGTTATAAATTGTTTTATTAACATGCATGTGTAGATGGATATTTTCAGGACCTAGAAATGATGGGGGGGAGGGTTATGCAATAAGTTAAATTATAATAAAAAATCATTTGGGCACAATTTGAACAAAAATGCTACTATTCACTTATCATTATGTAATGCCTAAGGTTCTTGCCTAGCCACGCCAAAGAATTTGTGTGGCAGCTGACCGTGGTGAGGGATAGAGACACAGACCGAGAGAGAAAAAGGCTGTAGGCTTTATTGAGCAGATTGAAAGGACAAAGCTTCCACAGTGTGGAAGGGGTCCCGAGCGGGTAGCCAGAGTTAGATTATGTGACTGCCTTTTAAACTCTTTAAGGCCGGAAATACGTGTGGCGAGATGTTACCAGAGCGAGAAACAAAGGCAATTAACCGTTTGTAACATGTCTTAGATCTTGAGGAAAACTGGAATTGCAACTTAGGTTTTATCTACTTTATGAACTTGCAGCAGCATGGCAAAGGAGACGGGATCTTACAGGACTTTGTTACAAAGTATGTTTTCAAGGAATTGGAATTGGGAGGATAGATAAGGTCCGCTGGTCACAGAAAAACAGGCAGTTAACGTTCCTTTTACTTTAGTTTCGGGGGAGGCGGAAGAGAAAGAGAGAGAGAGGACACAGGGAAACTTACAGCAAAAGTTTCGATGTTTATAGCTTTCTTGGGGAAGAAAACACATGCACAGATCCTGGTGTTAGGAATATTTTAAGCATGTATCTTCAATATTATTCATCCAGGACCGAAGTAAGTCCTGATGCAGGAAATGAGTGACTTTCACAGCTTTCTGAGCCCCTACTCAACCCAGGAAGTCCAGCTGGCACCTCCTCTGGATCACAAGGTTTTTTTGTTTTTTTGTTTGTTTGTTTGTTTGTTTGTTTTATCATATTGGCGTTGTGTTTATTTCCTCTCTACTCTTCTAAGTGCCTGCAGAGTAACAAATGCACATCTAAATGCTTGTGTTGTGCCTCTTTGCTAGCTTGTACATTGTTCTTTCTTCTTCCCTAACCTCAGCTCCACGGTATTAACCATACATACCTCTGAAATACATCTGATTGAATATATAATTATTGCAGTGATACAGATTGCATGGTTTCATGTTGATGTAAATGTTCACCCTGACCACCAGTCTAACACATAATCAATGTTTTCATTTTACTTAGTAACTGTTATTTTTTCCTATAGAGGACAGGGAAAAAAAAAAAAAAACTAAGTTCACTTGCTTTTAAATTCACTGCAGTTTTTTTTACTACCCTTAAAAAACAGCCTTCTACCTTTTCAACTTACCCTATTTTGTACCCAAATCAAGCGATATGATTGCAGTTGGATACATGACAGAATACTTAGGCTGACTGTAATAAGGATAGGAACATTGTATATAATGTTTTACATAATTATAAGCACTCAGTAACCTTTGGTTCAGTGGATCCAGTGATAATTTCATAACTAGTTAAACGAAGGAACTACCCTGATTAATTACATAATTCCGCCAATTAAATCAAGCTTGAGTTCTTGACTGGATTAATTTAGCAACATTAAAAACAACAGCAACAACAATGCCCTACAATTCAGCAAGATATTTTGAAAATATCAACGAATATAAATAAATTTAAACATATGTTTACATGGAAATTATGTAAAAGACCCAGAATAGCCAACTTAATACTAAAGGAGAATAACAAAGTCAGAAGACTGACACTACCTGACTTCAAGACTCCCTATAAAACTATAGTGTTCAAAACAGTATTGTATTGGGGAAAAATAGACAAATATATCAGTGGAATAAAATAGGGTTCTCAGAAATAGACTTATATAAATCCAGCAAACAGATCTCTGACAAGAGCAAAGGCAGTAGCATGGGAAAAGGATAATCTTTTCAACAAGCAGTGCTGGAATAACAGAACATCTGTATGCAAATGAGTGAATCCAGGCACAGACTTTATTCCCTTTTCAAAAATTAATTTAAAATGGATATTTTACACCATAATGGATATTTTATAACTATAAAAATTCTGGAAGATAACATAGGAGAGAACACAGATGACTTTGGATGGTGATTACTTTTTAGATAGGACACCAAAGGCATGATCTATGAAATAGACAATTAATAAACAGGGATAAGTTAAACTTAAAAGTTCCTTCTCTGAAAAAAACAAAAACAAAAACAAAAAAACACTGTCAAGAGAATAAAAAGAGAAGCCACAGACTGAGCGGAAATATTTGCAATCCACATACCTGATAAAGGACTGTTAAAGAAAATAAACTCCAATTTTCAAAAATGGGCTAAGGACCTTAACAGAAACCTCACCAAAAATATACATAAATATTGCAAAAAAGCATATGAAAAGATGCCCAAACCGTGTATCATCAGAAATATGCACATTCAAATAACAATGAGATACCATAACACACCTATTGAAATGGCCAAAATCCAAGAACACTGCAGCCACCAAATGCTGGGAAGCTGTGGAGCAACAGAGACTCTCATTCATTGCAAAATGAGACAACGATTTTGGAACTTAGTTTGGCAGCATTTCACAAAACTAAGCATACCCTTATTATAAGATTTAACAATTGAGCTTTTTGGCATGTACCTAAAGGAGCTGAAAAAGGTATGTCCATAGAAACATCAGCACGTGAATGTTTAAAGCAGCTTTATTAATAATTGACAAAATGTGAAAGCAACTGAGCTTTCCTAAAATGGGTTAATGGACAAACAAAATATGGAACATCCAAATGATGAAATGCTGTTTAGCGCTAAAAAGAAATAAGGTATCAAGCCATGAAAAGTTATGAAATTAACTTATTAAATACTGCTAAGTGAAAGAAGCCAATCTGAAAAGGCTAAATACTGTATAATTTCCATTTATGACATTCTGGAAATGGTGAAACTATGAAACAATGAAAAGATCAGTGATTGCCATGGGTTATGGAAGAGTGGGGAATGAATAGTCAGAGCACAGAGGATTTTCAGAGCAGTAAAAACCAGTATGATTTCATAATGGTACATACATGTTATACATTTGTCAAAACCTATAAAATGTAGAGTACCAAGAGTGAACCCATATATAAACTATGGACTTTGGACAATATGATGCATCAGTGTAATTTCAACAATTGTGATAACAATATACCACACTGGTGGGGGAATGGTAAAAATGGGGAAGGGTTTTTATGGGTAATCTCTGTATCTTCCTCTTAATTTTGCTGTGAACCTAAAACTGCTCTAAAAACATCAAGAAAAAAAAAAAAAAACTTCCAACAAGGGGTAAATAGAATAATCTTTGGGTTAGATTTTGTAGGTGGAGATAAAGAAAATAAGGACAAAAATAGCCAATTTATTTAGGAAAAAAGATAATCTGATTAGGCCTGAATTGCTATTAAAAAAAAAAAAGCCCCTCTACTATATTCTGAAGATATCTGATTTAATGTAAGGATATTTTAATACATGCTTACAGCTTACTAACTTTGTCCTTAACTTTGCAAATTGCTTCAAAAATCATACTAGAGTCTGAACTCTGCAGGAGCAAAGATAGGGCACTGCATGTTGAGCTTTTTGACATACTACAAGTAGTGGCAGAATAATCGGATTTCCTTTGTGTTGAAAAAAATACCCAATGAGTTTCTGGCAATCCTAAAAACATCTAATCTAAAGATTCTCATTCAGAGAAATAAGCTTCCTGCTGTAGGAAAGGTATCATGAATTCCAGGCTGCAATTTATATAATTGGATGTGAACAACAACTATTTATATAATAGGCATAATAAATTTCTCCAGAATTCTCTTGAGTGATTTAGATAATATCGTAGATGGAACATTGATACTCAAATTATAGTCCAACATTTTTAAATTGAGGGTAGGAAAACAAGAGATTTTTACAGTTATTAAAAGAAAATATAAATTTTAAAATGTTGAGTACTGAACTCCGTTTGCTATGTAATTTCTGGGCAATTGTAAGCATATCAATGTAATGAATCAATAACACTTCAAATATTAAGAAATTAAACATTTTAAGAATCAATATCCTCAGTTATAATTTTTCAGTGCCTATAATTCAGTAATTATGTCCAGAAAAATAAGAAATTGGAAAAACAAGGTATAGATTTAACAAAAGATTATTATGTAATATATGGTTTAGAGCATATTTAAACTTAAATATTTTAAATTGAATTAAATTAGTTTAATAATCCATTCCTTTTCCAAAATTTGAGATCATATTGATTCTGTAAAATCAGGGTAAGCACAACAGTGAGGTTGAGTGAGATGAAGGAATCAACTCTTCTGGAGGCAGCAATGTGCAATACCACCTGAGTTCTTGTCCTGAGCTAATGTCACTCTTTCCACCTTGCATTCTATTCAGAGTTCCAGCAATTTCTGCTAATATCTGGGTCCTAAAATGCCCCAGAGTCATGTTGAACAATAAATAAAATCAGACTCTGGGTGAATTCCCAACCTGTATAAAATCCTGATTTTTAGCTGATAAGAATATTTTGAAACAATGTAAACCTTATTTAAACATTTGTTAGCTTAAAATAATAATTTCCACCAGCTTCTGCAGGAGTGGTATTTGAAAATATCGGTTTTCAAATTGAGAGATTTATGACAAAGCAAACTATAATCAGGATTGGTTTAAGCAAGATAAGACTTGAAATAAGTAATATATTTGCAATCAATTTTATATTCTCACACTCTTTAATAATTAGACTAAAGAAATACAAAGAGAAACTGGAAAGGGGCCAAAGTAAGAGTATTATTTTATAAGAACTAAATGACAGACAAGTAAGTTGGCTGTTCACTACTCATTCAGATTCTCAAAGGATATTGCTGTCATCTGAGAAAAAAGAGATACTCACATTACATCTACTTTTATAAAAATTTCAGCAAAATTCCACTTTGGAGGTTGCTATCTGGGTTACAGAAACGGGAAATAAATCGAAAGTTCAGAATATTAAGCTGACTGGCATAAAGAGGTTATCATAAATATATGCTGAAATGCAGTGATGTCTTAACCTAGAAGCTTTATTAAGAAAAAAAAAATAACTACAGAAAATAGAACATGTCCTCAGGTAACTTTTTCTATGTGCTAGTTTGGGTCTCTCAAGTGTGTTCTTGCCTGAAAAGTATATGCGTGTGTGCATTCCTGTACATACTTGCTAACTATATCCATAATGCTAATGCAATTTCATATTGTAGAAAATAATAATGTCTGACTTAGCAAGATCTTTCACGTGTTTTTCCTTATACTTACTTTGAGGTTTTTATTTCTTGAATATCTCAGGACAACCTCTCATTCTCTACGCATGAAGTGCTATGCATTTCTGAATTTCTCAATATAACTGGTCTCTGGTACTGACACCTAATAAAGCACCTTAAAGTGACTAGTAAAAGAAAGTAAACTGTTCCATTGATCAATGTGTCAGTTTTCATGCTAGTACCATGTCGTTTTAACTACTATCACATTGTAACATAGTTTGAAATAAGGTGGTATGATGCCTTCAGCTTTTTTTTTTTTTTTTTTTTTTTGCTCATGATTTCCTTGGCTATTCATGTGTTTATTGCATTTTCATATGAATTTTAGGATTACTTTTTTCTATTTCTATGAAAAAACACATAGTGTTTTGTTAGGAATTACATTGAATTTGTAGAACATTTTAGTAGTACAAACATTTTAACAACATTTATTATTCCAATCTAAGAACACAAGATACGTCTCCATTTATTTATATCTTCTTCAATTTATATTAATGTTTTATAATTTTCAGTGTACAGCTCTTTCAGCTTCTTGGTTAAATGTATTTGTAATTATTTCATAGCTATTGTAAATGGAATTATTCTCTTGATTTTGTTTTGGTAAAGTTCATTGTTAGAGCAGAGAAACGTTACTGATTTTTGCATGTTGATTTTGTATCCTGCAACTTTACTGAACTTATCAGTTTAAACAGTGTTTTCAGTGGAAAATGTAGGGTTTTCTATGTATAAATTCATGTTATCTGCAAAAAGGGATAATTTAACTTCTTTCTTTATAATTTGAATATCTTTTATTTTTTTCTCTGACCTCACTGCTCTGGCTAAGACCTCTACTACTATATTGAATAGACGTAGTACAAGTGGGCATTCTTATCTTGTTTAGGATCTTAGAGGAAAACTTTTCAACTTTTCCACATTGAGTATGATGTTAGCTGTGGGTTTTTCAAATATGGCTCTTATTGTGTTAAGATATATTTCTTCTATACTGAATATTTTTTTCTTTTTTTCCTTCTGACTCTAATCTTAACCCTGCCCTTAACCCATAATTTTTTGAGAGTTTGTATCATGAAAGGATATTGGATTTTGCCAAATGCTTTTTTTCATTGTCTACTGAGATGATCATATGATTTTGCTTAATTCTGTTAATGTGGTATATCACATTTATTGATTTGCGTATGTTGAATAGGAAGCTCAGAAAAGAATCCATACTTTGGTGATCAATTGGTCTTTGACAAAGGTGTCAAGAATATACAATGGGAAAAGGTCAGTCTCTTCAATAAATGTATAGGTAAAATTTGGTATCCACATGCAAAAGAATGAAATTGGCCCCTTATCTCACATTGTATACAAAAATCAACTAAAAAAATGGATGAAAAACAAACATTTTTCTGGATATATACCCAGTAATGGGATTGCTGTGTTGAATGGGAGTTCTGCTTTTAGCTCTTTGAGGAATCTCACACTGCTTTCCACAATGGTTGAACTAATTTACACTCCCACCAACAATGCATAAGTGTTCACTTTTCTCCACAACTTTGCTAGCATCTGTTATTGTTTGACTTTTTAAAAGTAGCGGATCTGACTGGTTTGAGATGATATCTCACTGTGGTTCTGATTTGCATTTCTCTAATGATTAGTCATATTGAGCTTTTTTTCACATGGTGGTGGCTGCATGTATATCTTCTTTTATAAAGTGTCTGTTCATATCCCTTGCCCACTTTTTTATGGGGTTGTTTGTTTTTGTCTTGTAAATTTGCTGAAGTTCTTTATAGAAGATGGATATTAGACCTTTGTCAGATGCATAGTTTGCAAATATTTTCTTCTATTCTGTAGATTGTCTGTTTAGTCTGTTGATACTTATTTTGTTGTGCAGAGCTCTTGTTTAATTAGATTTCACTTGTCAATTTTTGCTTTTGTTGCAATTGTTTTTTGTGTCTTTGTCATGAAGCCTTTGCCCATTCCTGTGTTCAGAATGATATTGCCTAGGTTGTCTTCCAGAATTTTTATAGTTTTGGGTTTTACGTTTAAGTCTTTAATCTACTTTGAGTTGATTTTTGCATATGGTGTAAGGAAAATCATTCTACCATAAAGACACATGCATGCAAATGTTCACTGCAGCATATTCACAATAGCAAAGACATGGATTCAACCTAAATGCCCATCAATTACAGACTGGAAAAAGAAAATATGGTACATATATATCATGGAATATTATGCAGTCATAAAAAGAATAATATCATATATTTTTCCAGAACATGGATGGAGCTGGAGGCTATTATAATTAGCAAACTAATGCAGGAACAGAAAACCAAATACTGCGTGTTCTCACTTATAAGTGGGAGCTAAATGATGAGAACACATGGACACAAAAGAGAAAATAATAGACACTGTGGTCTACTTGAGGGTGGAAGGTGGGAGAATGGAGAGGAGCAGAAAAGGCAAATCTTGGGTACTGAGCATAATACCTCGGCAATTAAATAATCTTTACAACAAACCCTCATTACATAAGCTTACCCATGTAACAAACCCTAACATATACCCCTGAACATAAAAGAAAAGTTAAAATAAAAAAAGGACTTAAACTTAAGACATGAAACTATAAAACTACTAGAAAAAAATAAAAAGAAGAAGAAAAACCACTTGACATTGGGCTGGGCAATGATTTTTTAGATTTGACCCCTAAAGGGCAGGCAACAACACCAAAGATAGAAAAATAGGATTACAACAAAATGTTTTAAAATTTGCCTATCAAAGGAAATAATTAATAACAGTGAAGAGACAATCCTTGGATTGAGAAAAAATATTTGCAAGCCATACATCTGATAAAGAACTAATATCCAAAACATAGAAGAAACTCAACTCTATAAAAGAAAAAAGAAATCATTTGATTAAAAAACAAGCAAGGGGCATGAATAAACACTTCTCAAAAGAAGACAAAGGAATGGCTAACGGATACATAAAAATGCTCAACATTGTTAATCATTAGGCAGACATAAGTTAAAACACAATGAGATATCACCTCACGCCTTTTAGAATGGCTTTTATAAAAAAGACAAGAAATAACAATGGTTGTTAAGAATGTAAAGAAAAGGGAACACTTGTACAGTCTTGGTAGAAATGTAAATTGGTATAACCATTATAGAAAACAGCATGAAGTATCATTGAAAAACTAAAATAGAATTACCATATGGTCCAGCAATCCCTCTTCTGACTACTGACCCAAAAGATTTGAAATCGCCCAGGTGCAGTGGCTCATGCCTGTAATCCCAGCAGTTTAGGAGGCTGAAGCGGGTGGATCACCTGAGGTCAGGAGTTCAAGACTAGCCTGACCAATATGGTGAAACCCTGTCTCTACCAAAAATACAAAAATTAGCTGGATGTGGTGGCAGGTGCCTGTAATCCCAGCTACTCAGGAGGCTGAGGCAGGAGAATTACTAGAACCCAGGAGGCGGAGGTTGCAGTGACCCTAGATTATGCCATTGCACTCCAGCCTGGGGGACAGGATGAGACTCTGTCTCAAAAAAAAAAAAAAAAAAAGATTTGAAATCAGTATGTATTGCACTCCCATGTTCATTGCCACACTATTCACAATAGCCAAGATGTTAATTCAACCTAAGGGTCCATCATGGGATAGATGAATAAAGAAAACGTGGGATATATACTTAGTAGACTACAATTCAGCCTTATCAAAGGGAGAATTTCTGTCATTTGCAACAACATGGATGGAAGTAGAGGAGATTATACAAGTGAAAAAAGCCAAACACAAAAAGACAAATACTGCATGTTCTCATTTACGTGTGAAATCTAAAACAATTGAACTCACAGAAGACCCAAGTAGAATGGTAGTTTCGAGAGGCTGAAGGTTAGAGGCAATGGGGAGATGATAGCTAAAGGGTACAAAACCTCAGTTAGATAGCAGGAATAAGCCTGACTTCTTTTCAAAAGCATAGCATGTTAAATATAGCTAATAATTGCATACTGTTCATTTCAATATTACTGACAGTTAATTTCTAATGTTCTCATCACAAAAGCTGTTAAATAGTTGAGGTGATAAGTATGTTAATTAGCTTAGTTTAATCATTCCACATTGTATTCAAAAATTATAGCAACACCTTGTACCTTGTAAATATATACAACCATAATTTGTCAATATACAATTTAAAAAACAGAGACTACACTAACCCATAAAATGGGAATTTTTGATAGATATTAACTAAAATCAACTTTGGCATTTGAAATATACCTTAGACCACATCTGCTTATATGAGTCTCATGGACATCCAGCACCAAAAGTATATTGCCTCGCTTTGGTGATGTCAATACAGCGGACAGAGGCTCTGTTTCGCCGGGCCAGTGTAATAACAGAGTATGGCAAAATTTCCAGTTAAGCATTCCTATGTATCAGAAGTACCCTAGTCAGCAGTTTTCCCTTTTATCCCTAAATTTGTTGCAGCTTATATGTAACAAATAAACCAATCTGTGACGTGAGTAGCACTGCATCAAGCCCTTAGGGTAATAACCATAATTTAAATCAGCCAACTGTTTCATTCTGAGAAGAGTTTACTAATGTGTGAATTTCATTGGCTAGATGCAAATAAAAACCTTAATTTGTGATTTAATGCATTGCTACCTACACACAGCCAAATATCACACACTTTCTCCAGGTGAAAGTGCCTGGAAATACGCAAAAACCAAACAAAACAAAACACATTAGTTTTGAAAATTTTTTTAAAAGACTGAATAAATGAGATTAATTTGTTTAAAGCAATTTTTCTACTTTAAGAATAGTTTCTCATACTTTGGTGTCTACCATGTAAGGCAATAAAATTATTCGGATTATTTGCACTGGCACCATGTTTTTAATTTTTTACTTAGTAGACTTCATTTTTCAGAGTCGTTTAAATTTATAGTAAAATTGAGCAGAGTGCAGAGAGCTTCCTTAAACCTCCTGGCTCCCATCCCCAAACCTGATTTTCCCTATGATTAATATTGTGCATTAGTGTGGTACATTTGTTATAACAGATGAGCCAACATTGACACAATAATTTTAGCTAAAATCCATAGTTTACATTTGCATTCACTTATTGTGCTACACATTTTATTGATTTTGAGAAATGAATGATATTTATTTGTTAGTATTTGTTGTTATATTATCACCCATAATAGTTTCACTGTCCTAAAAATACCCTGTTCTGCATCTATTCATCCTTCCCTTGTACCCCCCGAGCACTTGGCAACTACTGAACTTTTTTTCTTTCTGTATTTCTGTCTTTTCCAGAATGTCATAGAGTTGGGATTATATAGTATGTAGCTTTTTCGGATTGGCTTCTTTCACTTACTAATATGTATTTAAGTTCATAAATTTTCAAGGCTTAATAGCTCATTTCATTTTATCACTGAATAACATTCCACCATTTGGATATACAAGTTTCTTTGTTCTTTCACCTATTGAAGGACATCTTGGTTACTTTTAAGTTTTGACAATTGTTAATAAAGCTGACATGAACATTTGTGAGCAGGTGTTTATGTGGACGTAAGTTATCAGTACCTTTGAATAAATACCAGGAACACAATTGCTAGACTTTATAGTAAGACTATTTTTAACCTTGTAAGAGACTGCCAAACTACTTTCTAAAGTGTCTGTTCCATTTTGCATTTCCACAAGCAATGAATTGTAGTTTCTGTTAGTCAACATCCTCGCCAGCATTTAGCAATGTCTAGATTTTGCATTTTAACCATGCTAGTAGGTGTGTGATGGCATCCGTTCACTGTTTTAATTTGCAATTCCCTAATGACATATGAAATAGAGCTCTATTTATATGCATATGTATTCTTTGACATACATGCATATAGGAAGAAGACATACTCTATTTATTATTTATTCTATTTATTTTTCTATTCATATCTATATCTATATATCTATCTAGATATAGATATATATAGATATAGATATATCTAGATAGATATATAGATATAGATATATCTAGATAGATATATAGATATAGATATATCTAGATAGATATATAGATATAGATATATCTAGATAGATATATAGATATAGATATATCTAGATAGATATATAGATATAGATATATCTAGATAGATATATAGATATAGATATATCTAGATAGATATATAGATATAGATATATCTAGATAGATATATAGATATAGATATATCTAGATAGATATAGATATATAGATATATCTATATCTATAGAGATAGATAGATAGATAGATAGATAGATAGATAGATAGATAGATAGATATCTCCTTTGGTGAGATGTCTGTTCGGATCTTTGGTCGGTTTCTCAATTGAATTGTTGGTTTCTTATTTAGTTTCAGAAATTATTTTTACATTTTAGATATACAAAGACTTTTAGGTTAGCTTTGCATTTTTCATTTTTTTTCCCCCGTTTGTGATTTGTCTTGGCTTTTCTCTCTTAACAGTGTCCTTATCAAAATTGAAGTTTTTAATTTTAATAACGCCCAACTTGATTTTGTTTTAAAATGGTGCTCTTGTTTTTTTATTCTTAGAAAACGTTGCCAAACTCAAGTTCTCCTAGATTTTTCTATGTTATCTTCCAGATTTTAGATTTAATTTTTTTGCAATCATTTTTATGCACTCAAACTTCAGAAATTGGACTGAAGAAGTACAAAGTTAGAGAAACTGTAAAGGGGCCAAAAAGAAAACTACTCTTTTACAAGAACTAAGGAAAAACAAGGAAATTGGATGTTCACTACTCATTCAGATTCTCAAAGGATATTGCTGTCACCTGAGACAAAAGAGAAATTCATATCACACCTACTTTTTAAAAAATTCAGCAAAATTCTGCATTGGAGGTTGCTATTTGTGTTTTACACTTAGTTCTACCATCCATTGAGAATTAATTTTAGTGAAAAGTGCAAAATCTGTATTTAAATTTATTTTTTGCCTATATATGTGTAGTTCAGCACTATTTGTTGAAATCACTATCCTTTCTCTATTAAATGTCTTTTACTCATTTGTAAAATATCAGTTGACCAGATCTATGTGTTTCTATTCCTGGGCTAAATTCTTTGGCTGGTAACATATTTTTAACTGTCAGCATTTTTTTTTACTTTATGTTTTTTTTATGAGTATAGCACTATTGTACATTGGTATGCAAAATTGTTACTTTTCTTTTGTAATTATTTTGGAAAATTGTGTGCATTATTATATAACTAGGTAAGAATCAAGTACCTTATTTTATTTGTTAAGAAAAAATAATGGTTTTAGGGGGAAAATAATATTTGCTAAACACAAACTTACTTTATAGAAAATCTTGGATCATGTCGAATTTAACTAGAGATATCTATAGATTAATATACTCATCTTCAGATATATAGATTGTGCTATAAAATAATTCAGAATAATGATGTAAATGTTTGCTTAGTAACACTAAGAATAATAGTTAAGAGGTATTGAAATATTATTATGTATGTGACACTTTTTAAGGTTGTTTTTTTAATTCCTTAAGAATCTTTTCAAGTCAATGGGTTTTCAATATTTTTAGTCACAGACATCTAATAAAGAATAATAATCTCTCTCCATGTGAAAGCATTTAAATAAACCCAACTGACTGTATACAATTTGAGGAGCTGATAGTCCCTTTGAAATCCATCCATGGATGCCAGAAATGGAAACAACAAGACCCAACATTCACAAAGTGTATTCTCAGAGCTCAGCAAAATATTAGTAAGCATTAAGTGATTTTCTGGTTTCTGTAGTCTATTACATTTTTAAAATGTCTACTTCAGCAAAGTTAAGACTTTTCTTAACTACTGCCTATTAGATTCTTGCAAATATTAATGTCCATTGTGACTATTAAAGAAGGGCATGGCTACACAACATTTCTAAAGCTAATTTGAAATTGAAATATTTTTTATCTTATAAAAATAATATTACTGTGATATTATTGAGCTATTACTCAATATTAATAATAATATTACTGAGCTAGTCTAAGGTCTAGTAGTGTCTCTGATAAATAGATGAGGTATAAAGAGATGAGGTAAAATTAACTATTAAGTTGAATGTTTCTTTGTCATTCAGTATCAGAGTTTCTACTATGAAAGTCTGAGCTCCTAGAAAGTGCCATATCAATTTAGCTTTATTTTTGTAGCACTCAATATTTTAACACACATATTTAAATACTTTATTATGAAATTCATTTCAAAAATTAATGATATATTTCATGCCCCCTTCCAAAATGTTGCATAAAGTATTAAATATATTCAAATATCTTCCAGTTATGGTTACTATAAATTATGCTAAGATGGTTTTCATGTTCACAGAACATGCACTGAAAAGTTTCTCTTTTGAGATATTTTTGTTTTGTTTGAATCAGGAAGTTATTTGGAAAGCTGAAAGCTGGGTCGAGTTTTTCAGCTCAGGAGAAATGTTTGTGGAAACAGATTGAGAATATTAGAAAGAATGAAGACCCATTTCTCTTTCTCTCACTGTATTACATCACTGGGAATCCATTCATTTAGTTCAACAACTTTCTCTTTAGAAATACATACAATGGCTGAGAGAATAATTTGTTTGTCATACATATAACGTCTATCTCTGTTAGCTTATCTGATTATGTCATCTCATAACTGTACATTCGCTGACATTTCTTTTAATCTGGGAATATGAGTAAAGCCAAGCATGCACTGAATTGTTTGAATGATAAATGAATCTTTGTCAACTAGCTGACAGGAACCTATCTGAAAATATTAACGTTGAGAAGTAAATAACAGAAGGATAATGTGGACTTGAATGAGATGTAACAGTGTGTAGCAGGAGGGCAATGAAATCTTCCCCGCCAAAAAAATGCACAAGTTCTTGCCCTGTCATGGCAGCTTAGGCTATTATCTGCTGATAAATGTCTTATAGTATATTTTGGGTTAAAATGGAAAACTCAAGTTGCTGATATTATATGGATAAAGATAAGTATGTATGTGATAAAATGTAACAGAAATGAGAGTTCAAAGACAACAACATAGAATTTTGTAGAGAATAATTTCAAGCATGTGAATTGTCTTTGTTCTAAGAGCTTTTGGAGATTTTAGACCCTGTCATTATGTGAAGGGAGCAGGTGTATTCATTTGTTTTATTTATCACTTTCTCTTGCCTTTCATCATCAAAATTTAAAAGTGAAATTCATCACTCTAAGTTATATAATCAAAAGGCTTCATTTGAATAATGATTAAATAATTGAGGAAGAAATATGTAAAGGGGCAGATCTTGAAAGATATGTTATGAAATAGCTGCTGAAATTACTTACATTAAAAAAACAGTGTCAATAAATGAAAAATACTCTCAGCAATGCCTTTGGCATATAGTTACATTTCTGGTAATTACAGAGATTGGGGCTTCTCATCAGTCTTCTCAATTTGAACATGTTCCAAAAGAAAACATCTGGAATCTAGTAGATGCAAAATCAGTGTGTGAATACAGCTATAAAGTAGCAACACACTATCCTGTCCGTGAAGTTCATCACTCTAAAATTATTCCTTTGTTGAAATTATTCAAAACACTAAACCATGGTTTATTAAGCATAGTCTGTAGGGTACTACAAAAAAGACATTCTTAGGGTAGAACTAATGTTACCCACAACATACCAGTCTATAAATTCCAACCAAGTTAGCAAACTGTTATGTGACTTGGGAAATATGAATTCATGCAGCAGTAAATAAGTTATCTCTTTTACATTCTTCCTTCAGAAACAGCCAGTGAAATATATGGCCATAAGTAAGCATGTACAGGATGACTGCACTGGATGAGATTTGCCAGATTTTCTGAGGAACAGAAATAGGAAATGAAATAAGAATTTTAAAAGAAAATGAATTCTCAGTAGAGCTTTGTTAAGTATTGTTTGTATAATTTAAGGGAAGTTATTTCAATATGTTTGGCTTTTGTTAGACATAGAGTTTTCATTTCAGTAATGATTTTTCGGTCATAAAAATAATTTAATTTTCTCTAGTTTCAAGTGAACCTGGATATTTCAAATAATCTTTCTTTTGCCGTAAATTACAAGATTTTCCAGTTTGACCACTGGCGCTTAACCTAACTACATACTGAAGGTAAATAAAAGGACTTATTAAAAGGAGTTGAGAAGACATGGAAATCACATTCTTGTTCCAGTGTTGAACTGTTTCATAAATAGTTACTAGCATTTAGAATTGTTTCAACAAATTGCACTATTTGCATAGAGATTTTGTAATTTTTTTACTTCAGTAATTTTTAAAATTTATTTCTTTTATTCTGAAAAAAATACTTATAACAGATTTTAAAATTTTGCTTATATTTAAAAATTACCAATGCAAAGGTAAACATGTTCTCCAAAAGCTTTAAAAATGAGTTTCCAAACACAAATTCAACCTTTTTTTTTTAATATAGGAATGATAGTAAAAATAGTATAATTTAACATTCAACCACCTTATTGCCTCTTCTAAGGTAGAAGAGTAAAAACAAAGAGAAAAAAAAAAAAAAACAAACTTTTTTTCTTGTTTGTGTCTTCAGGAATGCTCTTACCAAAAATGAACTTAGTTTTTCTGTATCACATATTCCACATCTATAATATCAGGAATATAGAAGAAAAATTTGAAATGTGGTTAAAGGTCAAAAGAATATCTTTGTTTAGTTCACTTATAGTGTCACTGGACATATCATAGCTAATGGTATCCTTTGTCCTTTTCAGTGTTGTAAACCTGGGACAATATCCACCAATGTTAAGGATCTTGTGATGACTCAAAATATCTAAAGAGCTCCCCCTTTGAAATATCTTCTCAATAACATTACACACACACACACACACACAAACACACACAAACACACACAAATGAAACATCTTATTACATTAAATATTATTTGCCTACAATGCTATCATTTATTTTGATGTTCACCTCAACACAATAAATACTTTTGAAATTTTTTTTCTTGTTTGCAAAAGTCAAATCCAGCATCCAAAATAAAGACTTGCTGCCTGAAAAGTCTTTTCAGATTGCCTGGCAATTACAATATATCTTAAGCACAGGCAATATCCGTGGTTTAAGTGGCTACTTTGAAAAGCTGATGCCCCTTCAGATGCATAAATTATAATTTAGTAAAAATAAGTCATCTTGTGTCTTTATAGTAGAATGATTTATAATCCTTCAGGTATATACCCAGTAATGGGATTGCTGGGTCAAATGGTATTTCTGGTTCTAGGTCCTTGAAGAATCGCCACACTGACTTCCAAAATGGTTGAACTAGTTTACACTCCCTCTAACAGTGTAAAAGCTTTCATATTTCTCCACATCCTTACCAGCATCTATTGTTTCCTGACTTTTTAATGATGGCCATTCTAACTGGTGTGAGATGGTATTTCATTGTGGTTTTGATTTGCATTTCCCTAATGACCAGTGACGAACTTTTTTTCATATGTTTGTTGGCTGCATAAATGTCTTCTTTTGAGAAGTGTCTGTTCATATCCTTCACCCATTTTTTGATAGGGTTGTTTGTTTTTTTCCTTGTTAATTTGTTTAAGTTCTTTGTAGATTCAGGATATTAGCCCTTTGTCAGATGGATAGATTGCAAAAAATTTCTCCCATTCTGTAGGTTGCCTGTTCACTCTGATGATAGTTTCTTTTGCTATGCAAAAGCTCTTTAGTTTAATGAGATCCCATGTGTGAATTTTGGCTTTTGTTGCCATTGTTTTTGGTATTTTAATCATGAAGACTTTGCCCATGCCTATGGCCTGAATGGTACTGCCTAAGTTTTCTTCTAAGGTTTTTATGATTTTAGGTCTTATGTTTTAGTCTTTAATCCCTCTAGAGTTAATTTTTGTATAAGGTGTAAGGAAGGGGTCCAGTCTCAGTTTTCTGCATGGGGCTAGCCAGTTTTCCCTACACCATTTATAAAATAGGGAATACTTTCCCCATTGCTTATTTTTGTCAGGTTTGTCAAAGATCAGATAGTTGTAGATGTGTGGTGTTATTTCTGAGGCCTCTGTTCTGTTCCATTGGTCTATATATCTGTTTTGGTACCAGTACCATGCTGTTTTGGTACTGTAGCCTTGTAGTATAGTTTGAAGTCAGGTAGCATGATGCCTCCAGCTTTGTTCTTTTTGCCTAGGATTGTTTTGGCTATACAGGCTCTTTTTTGGTTCCATATAAAATTTAAAGTAGTTTTTTCTAATTATTTGATGAAAATCAATGGTAGCTTGATGGGGATAGCATTGAATCTATAAATTACTTTGGGCAGTATGGCCATTTTCACGATATTGATTCCTCCTATCCATGAGCATGGGATGTTTTTCCATTTGTTTGTGTCTTCTCTTATTTTCTTGAGCAGTGGTTTGTAGTTCTCTTGTAGAGATTCTTCACATCCCTTATAAGTTGTACATGTATGTTTATTACGGCACTATTCACAATAGCAAAGACTTGGAACCAATCCAAATGCCCATCAATGATAGACTGGATAAAGAAAATGTGGCACATATACATCATGGAATACTATGCAGCCATAAGAAATAATGAGTTCATGTCTTTTGCAGGGACATGGATAAAGCTGGAAGCTGTCATTTTCAGCAAACTAACACAGGAACAGAAAACCAAACACTCCATGTTCTCACTCATAAATGGCTGTTGAACAATGAGAACACATGGACACAGGGAAGGGAACATCACACACTGGGGCCTATCGGGGGTGGGGGGCTAGGACAGGGATAGCAGTAGGAGAAATACCTAATGTAGATGACTGGTTAACAAGTGCAGCAAACCACCATGGCACATGTATACCTATGTAACAAACCTGCATGTTCTGCACATGTATCCCAGAACTTAAAGTATAATAATAATAAAAAAAGAAAAAAATAAGCCATCTTACTTATCAGTCTTAGAGATAATATTTTGGAAGATAAAATAAAACAAAAATAAGACATATCTTTGGGGAGTAAAATGATAAGTCTAGTAAATATGCAGCCAAATAATTTGGGCTGCTGTTTCGGAAAGCACCCAAAGACCTGGGAGGCAGTAGAGTCCAACGGCTGAGAGAGCAACATGTGAGGGGCCAGGCTACCTGTATTTGTGTGCTTGTTCTGACACTAACTAGCTCTATGACCTTAGACAAATTATGTAACTTTTATGTGTCTCAATTTTCTTATCTACCAATGGGCATAATGTCCCACTTTGTTGTTAAAAGGATTAAATACGTTAATAATTAAAGCATTTATATGGACTTATACAGTAGCAATTCTTAGCATGAGAACAATTCTTAACACATAGTAAGTACTTAACAAATAAAAAGAGACTTGAACTCATGCTCAGCAGTGGCTATATATAACCATATATACATACATTTTTTTCTGGTGATCTGCATGCCTATTAAATGAGAAGGTTGGATTTGTTGAATTATATTTAAATTAATCGTGTTAAAATTCTTAAAATCTGATAAGCAACCAGGATACAGAAAATTAAGACTGGTTTTTGTATGCTAGTACTTCAGAAAAAGAATCAATCCCATTATTTAAGAGAAAGATGTTTCTTTCTATTCCTGAATGAATGCAAGTGAGAAACCTTTAAAAACGGAAAATAAATTAGAAGTTTATTTTAAAATTACAAAATGAGGACTAGGGCTAGCTCATAGAAGAAAGCTGTAAGAATTACCATGAATACATGTACACTAGTATTATATTATAGACATATAACATATGAATTTCTAGGCGTAAATATATTCAGGAAAAGGATCACTTACATGAATAGCTAAGTTACAGCACTTTATTTTTTTCCCCAACTCACTGGAACACTATATTAAATTTTATAAATATTAGGAACCTAAGTAATAATGTCACTTATATTTATTATACCGATTTTCTCTAGTATTGATATTAACCACTAGAAAACTGATTTATTATCTTCCACATTAATCCCATTTCTTGGGAAATTAACTGTGGTTAACAAGCAGAACAGGAATTTGGAGTGCCTGTTTTGTGTATCCCTCAAAATTAATGGAGAAATTACTACAGGACCATCTTAGAGGACCAAACACTGAATACAGAAACAAAGGCCAGAAGGCTAGATCATAACTGCCACTGCTATTCTGGTGGGTCACCATGGACAGTGCGGTAGTGCTGCTACCCTGAAAAGTAAATTCTAAACTGCCTTTGCTTCCTTGTGACACTCCCTACAGATTCAAAGGCAGGTATAGCTGATGGGCCAAATCTAAGTTATGGGCCATAATCTAGCTGTCACAGAGTAAAGAGAACAAGTATTTGGACTTTCCACCACTCACTCTGGAAAGCAGGGAACAATGTAGTAGTCTGGTAACATAAGTTCAAATTGCTGGGTAATCAAAACCAAAAAAACATACATTTATTACATTGATCAAGATGAGGTAATTGAAAGAGCACGTATTCTGAAGAAAGACAAGCTAAGCTTGCATCCAAATCAGGAATCAGTAATTGTGTGTTATTTCACAATGTAAAAAAAAAAAAACTTAAGACTATTACTTTTCCAAATGTAGATCACGTGTAAATTATTGGAAAACATGTGAAAGCCTGTTGTGAGAACTAAAATAAATAATTCATCTAAAAGTGTGAGACTGGTAGAAGTTATCTAATGCATGTTAATTAACATCCATAATCTACTTTCACTTTTCTTTGCCTTTACAAAAAAGAAAAGAAAGATGTTTGATATTGAGAATTTTACATCTGGAACCGATACTGAAACTTTCTGTTTTACATTTTTGGTTGACATTAATAAGGCACTTCAAGCTGGTGTGGGTGGACGTTCTTTCCTGTTGAAAAGAGAACAAAACCCTCAACAAGGAGCAGCTGGAGACAAACTTGGAGCGAGGAAAAGCAGAAAGTGTTGCGAAGCATAATCATTTAAATCACAGATTAAGTCAACATAATAGCAGAGAAAATGCAGGAAATTCAAAATGTTTGACTATAGTGGCAACCTCACAGAGTCTTTTCTTTGGGATCAACAGAGAAAATGAGCTAAATGAATACAATTTTATATCTCCTGACATAGAAGTAAAGGATTCATGAGCAAATGTTTTATTTTATACTATAATTTTTAAAATATTTCCTTTAAATACAAAGCCTTAACCAACAAAATGTAACCATTAGCTTCATGAAAAACAATAAAAATAAGAGTTATTAACTATTACGCTTTCTTGATATTTCATTATATACACATCCAAATTAATTTGATTTAAGAAATATCATTTTTATTTTTATTTATAACTTGTATTTTAAGTTCAGGGGTACACGTGCAGGATGTGCATGTTTGTTACATAAGTAAACATGTGACATGGGAATTTGTGGTACCGATTAAAGAAATACTATTTTTAACTATCTCATGTACACCATGAATATATACACCTACTAAGTACCCACAAAAATTACAAATAAAAAAAATTTTCATACCATTTTTTTCTGCAATCATTGAAAAGCTAAAATCGAAATAATAGAAGCCAAATAAATGTATCAGAGAAAGTTATATTTTCCCCCCAAAATAAAATTGTAAGTGAGAAATCAGGTACCATTATATGATACAGCTAGAAAATGAAGTAAAGATATATTTTTAAATAAATTTTTCACAAGACACTGATTCTGATGTGCAAAAAAAAAAAAAAAAGAGAGAGAGAGAATGAAAAAAATAGTAACTTTAAATTCTTGGCTGCTGCGACCACAGGCTAGTTTAAAGTTTTCAAGTTAATGGTTCAAAAGATCATAAGCTCTCCATCTGTCACCCTCAAGTCAAGCTGCATATAATGATGAATACCTGTTACCTTGCTACATAAAAGTTTCATCTGAGGCTTTCTCCCTCATTAATTAATGCAATGGGAAACTGGCATGGCTCTAGAGAGAAACATTTGCCATGCAAAGGAAGGAGTTAGCTTTATTTCAAAATGAATCAACCCTTCAGTATTTTTACAATTTTATATATGAATGTGAGGACTTATATACGTATTAATTATTTATTCCCTCCTTATTCTAAGAATGAGTTAGGAGCTTTGCCTTACAAGGCAATGTGATTAGGGACTTTATGGAAGACTTTTTTTTTTTAAAAAAAGATATTTTTAAGAGAAAATGGTTGTCAGGTTCGTACTTTTTATTAGCTAGCAGTCATGGAAGTTCCAAGTGACTGGTAAATTTATTTTTTAAATTAAGACAAGGGTGGAAGTTGTTTTCCTTTTGTTATTTGTTCGTTCACATCTTCAATTGAAGCAAAACCTCAAAATGCTCAGGTTCATGGAAAATCTAAATTTGTTGCATATTTGTATTACCAGGAGTAATTTTCCAAAGAGCATCATCAACCTCACTATTTGGTTTGAATGCAAACTTACACAATATTTCTTGAAGATGAAATAAGATGTGGAATTGTTTATGTGCTTCTTGGATGCCACCTCTGAGCATAACTATGATGACAGATTTGAGAAGATCAGTAAATAATGCCTAGGCAGGCTTACAGATGACTTTGTCCTTGGACTAAATCTTTAAAACCAGAGACCTAATGACTGAATCTATATTGCAGACTTCATCTTCTTGAATCTTGAAGTCAAAAAACATAGACATAGCACTTTTCACTTTCCATTCCCTTTTTTCCACTTTATCCTCTGCCTTTCAAAATAAGACAGAAAAAAAATAAGCAATTGAATCTTGAACACAGTGTTCCATTTATTTATCACTTCTGAAATACCATAATCTTGAGCAGATGTTAATCAAAACTTTATCATCAACAATCTTCTCTATCTCTGTATTTGGAGTAGATAATGGAGTATTCAGGCAAGATAACAATTAGTAACGATATTTTCTATTAACTTTCCAGAAGTTTGTTTTAAGGCATAATTATCCTCATTGAAGTAAAACTTCAGGAGAAACACAACTTATAAATTCATTTTATGAAAACAAATTTAGCATTGATATCAAAACATTGTAAAGATTACACACAAAAAATACAGATAAATCCTATTTATAAATATTTATAAAAATTACACATCATGACCCAGATTTATTCCATGAAGAAGCATGCAGTTGAATATTAAGAAATGCATTACTATAACGATTCATATTAATAGGTCTAAGGAACACTAGTAAAATACACATTAATTAATAAATACTTAAATAACATGCCAAAGAAATACATGCACTTCTTTACGTATCAGGCACAAATCCTGCATATTACATGAGAAAGGAATGCTAAAGTCAGTTCTAGTAATGTCAGAAAAAATACAAGGTTGGCTACTATAACTAGTAATATATTGAACATATCTTCAATGTAATCAAAGCAAATAGAGGCATTAAAAATCAGAAAAGATATAAAATATTCTCCAATTTAATGAAATAAAATGAGAAATTAACTCATAAATTAATAGCCTTTATATGTGCAAGTAATAGCCAACTAGATAACATGATGGATTAAAACATGACATTTAAAATAACTAAAATATCTAAACATAAACTTATCAAAGAATAAAAGTCATTTCTGAAAAGCAAAAACATAGACTTGAACAAATGGAAAGACATACCATACTCATGAATAGAAAATTCAACATCAAAAAGCTGCTAATGGTTTCTAAGTTAATTATAAATTTAATATAATTACAACAGATAAGTTTATTTTTTATTCTGCAGCTTGAAATTTTTATTTAAAAGTTTCTAGGAAAAAAGAAAGAAAAATACCAGAATAGCTAAGTAAACACTTAGATTTAAAAAAAGCAAAATGTGTGTTTGTTTGCATGAGTGTGTGAGAGACAGAGTTTGGGAGGTAAAGGTGGGTAGAGCTAGTCTGTAGGATGTTAAAGCATACTATAAAGGCTACATAATTAAATGAGTATGGTAGTTATGCATAAATGGACAACACAGACCAATAAAACTGAATGGAAATTATAGAAATAGATCCAAGTGTATGGTGAAATTCAGTATAAGATAAAAATGGCATCTCAAATACGTAGAGAAAAAAATAGACTTGTGGCCGGACATGGTGGCTTACACCTGTAATCCCAGCACTTTGGGAGGCCAATGCAGGCGGATCATGAGGTCAGGATCGAGACCATCCTGGCTAACATGGTGAAACCCTATCTCTACTAAAAATACAAAAAAATAGCCGGGCGTGGTGGCGGGCGCCTGTAGTCCCAGCTACTCTGGAGGCTGAGGCAGGAGAATGGCATGAACCCGGGAGGTGGAGCTTGCAGTGAGCCTGGGCGACAGAGCGAAAAAAAAAAAAAAAAGACTTGTTAATAAATAATCCTCTCCAGGAACGACTGGATAGATATTTAAAGTACAAAGATAAAATTAGATCTGTTCTTATGAAACATATTCTACTACAAATGCCAAAAATATCAATAATCTAAATAACAGAAAAGGAAAAAACACTGTACAAGCACTAAAACACTAAAAGAAAACAGTGGCAAATTTGGTTAAAACCTAAGAGTAGGGAAACATTTTCTTGTAGAGTTGCCACAACAAAGTACGACAAGCCAAGTGGCTTAAACAACAAAAATTTAACAGCTTACATTTTTGAAGTCTAGAAGTATTAAATCAAGGGGTTGGCAAGATTTGCTCCGAGGGCTGGGAGTGGAAAACCTGTTTCAGGCTTCTCTTCTTGGCTTATCCACAGTGATTTTCTCCCGTGTCTCTCCACATCTTTCCTCTATGTGCGTCTCTGTGTTTAAATTTTCCCTTTTTCTAAGGACATAAGAGATTGAATTAGAGCCCACTTTAATGACCTCATTTTAATCTAATTATGGTTAAAACTCTGACATACCTTTTTTTTTGAGAGTGGGGAAAAACTCAACCCATAACAACTCCAAAGAATAACAAAAAATACAAAATAAAAATACATAGTAAATTTGAACTACATAAAAGTATAATAATTCTATATACGGCAGACAAGTGATACCATATTGTAAATGACAATTGACAATCAGTGTCACTAATGCAAAATATTGGTACTAGAAATGAAAATAAAAGACTGGTAACCCAATGGAAAAATAGCCAATGATATGTTGAGATGGATTACAAAAAAATTATCCTTGGAAACATGAGAAGTTAATAAAAGAAGAAATGCTTATCATTTCCCACTTATTAGGTTGGTCCACACTGTGACAGCATTTTCTGTTAGTGAGATTGTGGGGAAATGGCTATTTGCTCTGGATATGAAAAATAAAATAAGTGAAAGAGACATGGCAAACCAGGTAACAAAATTATCTAAGCATTTATTCATTGATCCAACAATTCCACTTCTAGAAATCTAGCCCCAATCTTATAGCAAAAATATGAAAATCTTTTACATAAGATTATTCATTGCGGCATGACTTGTTAATCAAAGAATGGAAACAATTCTACTATCCATCATAGAAATATATTAAAGATAAATATAATTAGAAAGAAATTATGAACTCTATTTAGTTATCTTATTGTTAATAATATTGGAAGAATGGAAATAATGGAAACAAAGAATGGAGACAATCCTACTATCCATCATAGAAATATATTAAGGATAAATGTAATTAGAAAGAAATTATGAACTCTGTGTAGTAATCTTAGTAATATTAGCAAGAAAACTTATTTCAGTTGCCAGCAT